>NC_000002.12:17812785-17964300 GCF_000001405.40 Homo sapiens
GATGGCTTACTATAATCCCAGCACTTTGGGAGGTGGAGGCGGGTGGATTACTTGAGGCCATGAGTTTAGGACCAGCCTGGCCAACGTGGTGAAACCTTGTCTCTACTAAAAATACAAAAGTTAGCTGAGCATGGTGGCACACACCTGTAGTTCCAGCTACTTGGGAGACTGAGGCATGAGAACCACTTGAATCTAGGAGGCAGAGGTTGCAGTGAGCCTAGATGGTGCCACTTCACTACAGCCTGGGCCCTGCGTCAAAAAAAAAAAAAAAAAAGAAGAAGAAGAAGAACACAGGAAAAGTGTTATTACCTCCTTTTACGCACTAAAATACTTAGGCTGTGAGGGGTGAGTCACTTGCTCTAAAGGAGGCAAGTTCTGTCTCATCCTTCCACAACACCATGCTCTCAGCCAGATTTTACTGGGTCCAGTGTAAATTTTGCCTGTCTGGTCTAGCCTTATCCAGTGTTCTGTTGCTTTGTTCAAACTGGAGACAGAAAAGCACCAGCTAGTGTCTGCCTAACTATAGCCTTCGAATGTCTGTACTGCAGTGTTACATTGTCCTTGACTTTTATTTCCCTCAGATTGAGCACAGAATGCTTCTCAGATAGATGCAAGTCTGGTTCTGCTTTATTTCTTACCAAAGAGAGAGTGCACATCAAGAAACATGAAAACCAGGCAGCTTCCTTTCTCCAAGAATAGTTTCAGGGGCCAAGAAGGCTGGGAAACTGGGGTCAGGAGCAGAAGAGTCACAGCTCGGTAAGTCATTCTGTTGCTGGTGGGTTTGACAACACTCAGTCAATAACAATAATGACAAGAACTACATTTATTAAGTGTCTACAGTGCACTAAGGATTTGACAGATATTGTCTCATTTAGGAAACGAAATTTCTAAAAATGGAAGTTCAAGAAATTAGCAGTTTTAGAAAGAAGCTGTGGGAAAGGGAAAAAAGAGTTATGGAGTCTGAGAGCAGAAGCAGTGTTACGTGGAAAACTGTGAAGTTAGAACACAAGGATCGAGAGTCTGCCATGGCAGCGGCCCCCACAGCTGCCTTGTGTCCCCTGGGAGTTCCCTCTCTGAGTCACACTCAGGCCATCTGCCTCTACCACAACCCATGAAAGAGTGAAAATAGATTTTAAAAAAAGAAAGTGAGCTTTGGGGTCTGACAAGGAATCTTTGCTCTACCACTCCCTAGTGACTCTACCACTTCCTACCCGGGAAATCTTAACTGAGTTTCTTCACATCTGAGAGTCTCAGTATTTTCATCCATAACATGTTGGTCTTTTTGTTTTTTGTCTTTTTTAAAAAGAAGCTTAATCATATAAGTTCCTTGAACTCACACAAATCAGCAAGAAACAAACAAATAATTTCATCAAAAAGTGGGCACATGACATGAATAGACATTTCTCAAAAGAAGATATCCAAATGTCCAACAAACATGAAAAAATGCTCAACCTCACTAGTTATCAGGGAAATGCAAATTGAAACCACAACGAGATACTGCCTTGCCCCAGCCAGAATAGGTTTGTAATAAACAAAGTAAAAAAAAAAACCCAAATGTTGGCATGGATGTGGTAAAAAGGGAACACTTACATACTGCTGGTGGGAATGAAAAGTAGCACAACCTCTATGGAAAACAGGATGGGGATTTCTTAAAGAACTAAAAGTAGACCTACTATTTGATCCAGCAATCCCACTACTGGGTATCTACCCAAAGGAAAAGAAGTCATTCTATCAAAAAGACACCTACACGCATATGTTTACTTCAACACAATTCACAATTGCAAAGATACGGAACCAACTAAGTGCCCATCAACCAACGAGTGGATAAAGAAAATGTGATATATATACACCATGGAATACTACTCAGCCATAAAAAAAAGCCAATGAAATAATGTCTTTTACAGCAACTTGGATGAAGCTGGAGGCCATTATTCTAAGTGAAGTTACTCTGGAATGGAAAAATCAAATACCATATGTTCTTACTTATAAATGAGAGCTAAGCTATGGGCATGCAAAGGCATGCAGAGTGGTATAATGGATTTTGGAGACTCAGAAGGGGGAGGGTGGGAGGAGAGTGAGGGATATAAAAAACTACATATTGGGTACAATGTACACTACTCAGTTGACATGAGCACTAAAATCTCAGATTTCACCACTATACAACCCACCCATGTAACAAAAAAACATTTTACCCCAAAAGCTATTGAAATAAGAAAAATTAAAAAATATATAAAATTCCTTGCATAGTATCAGCAGATTCTGGGCTTCTCAACAAGAATTGGAAGAGAGAAGAGAGAGGAAAAAGGAGCAAGAGTCATTTGTTACATTTATTACAGTCATTAATATTATTATTTTTCAAAATCCGGCTTGGGGTTCTTCAGTAAATGGTAAAATTAAGAGCATTCTTCTACAGATTACCTACTTGAGATTTTTCTTCCTTGAGCCTTGCTAATTAAAAAATATCATAAATGTTCTAACTAGGCCATTGACATTTATTTTCAATAATTGCAAGGGGACTTAAATAACCTGTTAAAGGACATGTTAATATTACTCTACACTTTAACTCACTGCGACTTGATGTTAATACTAATTTGTAGAATTAGTTACATGGAAAATAAATTAAGTTCATGGGACAAATGGGGAATCTGAGATCCCTTTTCCAAAACCCAGGGTCTAGCAGAGCATATAGGAAGTGAAGCAAACTAGCACAACCATCCAACTTAACACATTCAGTGGCATTTGGAGCTGTGGTGGGGAAAAGAGGCTCCCTAGTTAATTTCACACTTCCTCCATACATTTCAAAAAGCAAGGTGTGACTCATTTCAAAAAACAAGGTGCAGCTGGGTTTGTTAAAAAAGACTTTCCTTAGGCTAAATGCCAGGTATTCTGCAAAGTCCCTGGCTTAAGGGAGTTTTCTGTTTCCTAGTATCTGTTTGCTGTGCGGAATCCAAATCTGCTCGGTAACAGCAAGGGTTTTATGCCTCTGGTAGGATGTTTCCTGCTCTTTAAGGCTCTAGGCTTACTGGAGTTGCTGGCCTTTGTCGTTCTGAGTGTAGGCATGTTCCGGGCATGTCTGCACTCTATACGACCCAGGGAAATTTACTAAGGTGGCATCCACTGGGTACCTCATGTGTGTGGCACCCCCAGCAACCCTAGGAAATAAGAGCTGTTGTTTTCTGTGTTGGACACATTAGGGAATCAAAGCCCAGAGGGGTTACCTTGTCCCTAGACCATGCTGCTTCTCCAACAATACAGCCCAACTGTGCTGAAATATCTAGCAGGTCCTGGTGGAGGGGATGGAGGCCCTCTCGGGTCACTTTGCTACTCTCCACCAGGGCCCTCGGCCACCCCCTCCTTGCTGCGGATGCCCCAGGTTTGTTTTCTTTGGCTCCCTCATTAATGAGTTCCACAGCACAATGCTAAGTCTAGTTATGCAGCCTTAATTGGTTTAGTTACAACAAGATAATTCCTTTTTTCTTCTCTTGGAGGCCTTTCTGTTTAAAGACATTTTAGCTGGAAGATGCTAATTATCAATGAGGAGAAAATGACACCTGAAGAGTTCATTTTCCATCTTGGTCTTTGGTTTTTCCTTTGAACTCTCTTTACACGGCCCTCTTTCCCACTTCATCACTTCTCCCCCACCGTCATAAAAGAGAGCTCTTCCCTGGCCAGGCGGCAGAATTTTCTTTCTCACTTGCCAGGGAGCCATTCCTTCTGCAGCTGTCTCGCAGGCATGGACAACCTGCGCGAGACTTTCCTCAGCCTCGAGGATGGCTTGGGCTCCTCTGACAGCCCTGGCCTGCTGTCTTCCTGGGACTGGAAGGACAGGGCAGGGCCCTTTGAGCTGAATCAGGCCTCCCCCTCTCAGAGCCTTTCCCCGGCTCCATCGCTGGAATCCTATTCTTCTTCTCCCTGTCCAGCTGTGGCTGGGCTGCCCTGTGAGCACGGCGGGGCCAGCAGTGGGGGCAGCGAAGGCTGCAGTGTCGGTGGGGCCAGTGGCCTGGTAGAGGTGGACTACAATATGTTAGCTTTCCAGCCCACCCACCTTCAGGGCGGTGGTGGCCCCAAGGCCCAGAAGGGCACCAAAGTCAGGATGTCTGTCCAGCGGAGGCGGAAAGCCAGCGAGAGGGAGAAGCTCAGGATGAGGACCTTGGCAGATGCCCTGCACACCCTCCGGAATTACCTGCCACCTGTCTACAGCCAGAGAGGCCAGCCTCTCACCAAGATCCAGACACTCAAGTACACCATCAAGTACATCGGGGAACTCACAGACCTCCTTAACCGCGGCAGAGAGCCCAGAGCCCAGAGCGCGTGAGCTCCATCCGGGGAAACTGACCGGTTCCAGCCTCCTGAGCAGGAGTAGAGGAGTTTTGAAGACCTGGATATCTTATTGAACAATGATCGGCGTAGAGTGATTTTTATGTAGTAAGCCTGATAATCTTGTGATCTGAAAAACCCTAAGGGAATTCACATGTAACCTGTTGGACCCACCAGAACACTTACCTGCCAGATGAGCAGAGACTTTCACCTCCAGTTTTTTCCACCCATCTGGGAGGCTCATCCTTTGCAAACAGACAGATTATTTTGCCCTTCTCTGTCTGTTCAAGGTATTTTAAAGGGTCAGTGATTTTAAATGCATTTTTTTCAATAATGTAAAAGTGTTAATCTCTTGCCATTTTGGCGTTGAGACCTTTTCTTCTGTTGCTAACAAAACCTGTATTTTGTATAGGATCCAGTGTGATATCTGGATTCTTATTTAGAAAGATTTGTGCCAAGTAAAGGGCTTTAGTGCTCCTGTTTTCATTTCGTGTGTATATGTGTGTGTGTTTGTGTTTGACTGAAATCATGCTGTTGCAGGGACCAAAATCACTTAAATGCGGAAGGCACTGGTGTCATGATAAATGGAAAGTCACAGGCAGACAGGCTAAGTTAAGACAGTGAAGATTCCAAAAGCCAGAGCCTCCTCTTCACAGGCAAACAGCTTGTGTGACAGGGAAGGAGGGTACGGGGAGGAGGAGGAGGAGACAGCACCTCAGGGTGGACCTGAAGCAAGGCTGGGTGGGCAGGGTCTCCCTGTCCTTTGTTCTGGGCCTGGTATGAACAGGACCTTATTTAGTCCTTTCACTTACCCGTTTGTCAAATAAAAAGACAGTCTCAGAAAAAAAAAAAAAAAAAAGTGATTCGAATCCCATAAAGAATAACTAAAAGGGTCAGTGTTAGAACTGAACAATCTCTGACCCCTCCAAAGGCATTTACTTCTTCATCTTCCCCTCCTATCCATCTGCCTCCCCCCAACTCCAGATCCCCCACATGCACCCATCACACACACACCCACTCTTCATGGTGCCTTGTCTTAGGGTGGGTATCTGTAGCACCCACAGTTTAGCTCATTTGAATGGCACAGGACATTGAAAAGGGGGCTTTGAATTAAGGAGGTTCT
Organism: Homo sapiens; assembly: GCF_000001405.40. Classification (NCBI taxonomy): domain Eukaryota; kingdom Metazoa; phylum Chordata; class Mammalia; order Primates; family Hominidae; genus Homo; species Homo sapiens. The sequence goes on from NC_000002.12 coordinate 17,818,226, forward strand.
GAAAACTAGTGAGATTTTTTAAGGCTGAATTTTTCTCCCTATGGTTATTAACCATTAGTATTTGTTGTACATGTCTCCTATCATCTTTTTTCTATTGGTGATTTTGTTTTCTTTTTAGTGACATAAATTACAAAAGCAGTAGATGTGTTCTCTACTTCTCCATTTTTTTTTTGCTGATACAAACATATACAAATATATATAACTTGTCCATTTTTTTTGCTGATACAAACGTATACAAATAAATGTAAGCATACATAAATGTTAAAGAAAAAAACCTGAAAATTCCTTTTTTAACTTAACAATATACAGTACAAGTTCTTCCAAGTTAGCACAAATAAATCTGTGGTGTAAATACCATTATTACCTTCATTTTATAGATGGGGAAACAGATGCATGACTTGCTGAGTCACACATGCAAAAAGTATAACAGAAAACAGAGGTTCTAGCAAGGTTCCATAGAACAGATTCTGCAAAATTTCTTAAGCGAGTCACCTTTTCAATGATTTTTAAGTTATTTTCAGGTTTTTTATGACAAAAATGCTATAACAAAGGTTATAGACAACTAGCTTTATCTACTGATGTGTTCATTAGCTTGAAAAATTCCCAGAAATGGGATTATTGGATCAGAGTATGCACATTTTAAATTTTAATAAATAATGTTATGTCACTTCTATAAAAGTTTGTAGTTATGTATACTCCTCCTAGTATTATGTGACAGAACCAGTTGCCCCACATTTTCATTGGATACTATCAATTTTATGAATTTTTAATGGATAAAAATTGTTCATTGTTGTGTTAATTTTAACTTCCCTGTCTGTCATTTGAGGTGGAGCGTCTTTATTTTATGTGACCATTGTTCATTTTGGTTCCTCTTCTAAAACTTGCTAGTTTATAAATTTGCCATTTTTCTATTGCTTTATCTTCTTGTTAATTTGAGAGAGTTCTTTGTATATTATGTACTGGAATATTTCCTTCCAATCTTTTTATATTGTATTCTTTTTTCTTTTTTATTGATGCATAATATTTATTCATATTTATAGGGTACATTTGATATTTTGTTACATGCATAGAATGTGTAATGGTGTAATGATCTAGTCAGGGTATTTAGGTATTCATCACCTTGAATATTTATCATTTCAGGACTATTTCAAGTCCTTGCTTCTAGCTATTTTGAAATATACAATTCATTGTTGTTAATTATAGTCACGCTACTCTGCTATCTAACACTAGAATTTATTTATCTATCTAACTCTATGCTTATATCCATTAACCAACCTCTCTTTATCCCCTACCCACCCCTCCCGCCACCCACACTCCCTTCCCAGCCTCTGTTTCCTATCATTCTACTCTCTTTTTCCTTTCTTTTTTTCACTCTGTTGCCCAGGCTGAAGTGCAGTGGTGCGATGATAGCTCACTGCAGCCTCAAATTCCTGGGCTTAAGCGATCCTCTTGCCTCAGCCTCCTGAGTAGCTGGAACTATAGGTATGTGCCCCCATGCCTGGCTGATTTTTGTATTTTTTGTAGAGCATGTTGCCCAGGCTATCATTCTACTCTCTACCTCCATAAGATCAAGTTTTTTTAGCTCTCACATATGAGTGAGAACGTGCAATATTTATCCTTCTGTGCCTGGCTTATTTTACTTAACATATTGACCTCCAGCATATTTGTTTTGATGATGTCTTTTTTTCTTTTTTTCTGAGACGGAGTTTCACTCTTGGTGCCCAGTCTGGAGTGCAATGGCGTGATCTTGGCTCACTGCAACCTCCGCTTCCCAGGTTCAAGCAATTCTTCTGCCTCAGCCTCCCAAGTAGCTGGGATTACAGGGATGTGCCATCACGCCCAACTAATTTTGTATTTTTAGTAGAGATGGTTTCATCCTGTTGGTCAGGCTGGTCTCCAACTCCTGACCTCAGGCGATCTGCCCACCTTGGCTTCCCAAAGTGCTGGGATTACAGGCGTGAGCCACTGCGCCCGGTGATGATGTCTTATGATCTTGATTATGGCATCATTTTTTTTGAAGCTTTTCATTTTTATATGATCAAATTTGGTTTTTGTTTCATGGCTTATGTGTTTTTCTCCCTTGCTTAATTTTCCCCAGTTCCAAGGTTGTCCAAGTGTTCTCTTGATGTTTTGTAAATACTCTTACAGTTTTATTATTTATTTATGGGTCTTCAAAATACCTTTAATTCATTTTTGTCTATAGTGTGTGGAAGGAATCTAATTTTATTTCTGTGTAGCTTGTCATCAAGGATTGGTGGGTGGTGGTGAGGCACAGTTGCTAAGATGTCATTCTATGTATATAAACTTTCATCAGCTTCTCATATATTTGGTGTTTTAGAGAAAAAGCTAGAAAACATTGAACAATATGAAGACTTTCTCCAAGGAACTTTATCACATACATGTACAGGTGTTCATGTGAGAGCGTATGTGTGTGCACATATATACGTATTTGTTCACCTATGTATGTGTTCATGCATGTGTATGTGTGGGTTGTGTTTTTTGTGTTGGAGAAGGAGGAGGGTATTGGGGTAAGGGAGAACCAGCTGTTCTAAAAATCAACTTTCGGTTCAAATGCTATTTTCCTCACCGTTTTTAAATGAGTGGGACTCAAATGCTCTTGGCTTTGATTTTTCAAGCTCAAGTATTAACAATGGTTTATAAATAGCTTGGGCAATTTTGGTTGTCCTGGGCACCAAATACTGTGAATGAATTAGGAGGTATTTCCTGTCCTCAGTTTCAAAATATCCCTTAATGTCACAGACTCACCTATTAGCTGGGTATGCCCTCAGGACTTCTAAGGGACCCACTAGAGGGTAGGTGTCTGCAAAACCAGGAGAAGATGGCAGCTTCCTGGGAGGGGTCCTGTGGCCCAGAGCCTTGTCTCACCCACACCCCCTTCCTAGCCTCTGTTATCTATCATTCTACTCTCTTTTCCCACTGAGTCCTTCCCAGATTGCCAGGCTGCAACCACAACTGCTGTACACGATAGGCAGCTGTATATGAGTGTTTGACTCCTGCCAGTCCCCAGTGGAGTCGCCTCCCTTATCGGGAGGATAGCTGGAATAGGTCCCTCAATCCTCCAGGGAGTGTTTCAAAGCATCTGGCCTGGGCAAAGCTCAAGATTAGGAATAAGTTATTTCTGGTGCTTGGACAGGGAAAGGGTTGCAGAACCACAGTTCACATATGCCTACTCTGGTCAGTACTTCTACATTTATTATTTCATGTAACTCTCCTAACAACCCTAGGAGATGGGCATTATTTGTATTTTGAGGACCAGGAAATAAGTTTAGGCCAGTTAAGCTATGCAAAGCCACTTGGTCAGGTAGGGGCACATGTCTAATTAGTTAGCTAGTGAGTTCAGCTCTAACTCCAAACTTCAGGTTACTTCCCTCAGTCATGTCGCCTTCTTTTCTAGCTCACTCTGATGATGGCCTAGGCAAAGGGCTTGGCAGTGGGAGAGCATTCTAAACAAATGCTCACTCTTGGAGCCTCTCCACTTTTTCTCTGCTTCCCTACCTCTGGGCCCTCATCTTTCACCATCTGAAGCATTTCAGAAGGGACTATTTGTCTTGACCTTTAAATTATTTCCCTTTGAACTCCTGCCTCCACCCTGAATATTTTCTTAGAAATTCTCTTCACTTCCTCTGCTGGCGCCTAGAGTCTTTCTTAATCTGCAGAGGAAATCTGTCTTCTGTTCATTTGTGTTCAGTAAAGTGTTCCACAATTCACACCGGGCTGAGGTTTTTTTGTTCTGCTTGTAGTTTCTGCCACATTAGCTAATTGGGAGAGAGGCAAGGGAGAGAGGCCAAATCAGGGGTGGAGGGATTCTCTGCAAATTGTCAAGTCCACAGAATTACCCTTACATTAAAACCGTTGCTTTTTTTAAGCAACAGCAAAATAAGATGGGTAAGCAAATGCACTTGGGCTTCTAAGGTTATTACAATGGCTCAGTATGCTAGGTGCCTACACCAGGGTGTCATTAGATTCCTCTGACAATTCCTACACACTCCAGGCTGCAGGAGGAGCCTTGACTCTGTGGGCTCAGCCCACGCTGGCCAGACAGGAACCAGAGCCTGGTTCACTCCTTTCGCCCTCCTGCTAGGAACCTGAGACAGTCTCTCTCTTGCCAGTAAAACAGTGAAGCTGAAGCAGTGTCCTTCTTAGAGCAGCCTGGAAGGTCTTGATATTTTGGTCCCAGAGAGACCCTTGAATTCCGAGGAAGAAGAAAGCAGAAAAACTTCTGAGAAGGCTGGAGAAAAAAGACAATTATTTGTTTGTCTCTTGAGTTTGCCAACTATTGACCTTCTCTCCATTAGTTACGTTCTTCTCCACATGAATGCTACTGACTCGTGTTTCTTTTCATTAAATTAAGTGGGGAAGCCTGGCAGGGCTGGAGGTCAGGTCGCTGATGAGATAGAAGTATATTTAGAAAGCACAGCCATGGGCTGTTTCCAGTCCAGTAAACAGCAGTGTGGAACTGTCATCTGAGGTGTCAAGGCTCAGTGCCAAGGCCTCTATATGTGTTTTCTGCTTTAATCTTGATAGCTAATGCTACACAATAGCTAATATTAGCCCATTTTATAAATAAATAGGCTGAAAGAAAAAAAGTAATTATGTGCCCAGGGTCACATAATTGGGTGCAGAGCCCAGAGCCCAGAGCCCAGAGCCCAGAGCCCAGGTCTGCCTTTTTTTTTTTTTTTTTTGAGATGGGGTTTCACTCTGTTGCTCAGGCTGGAGTGCAGTGGTACAATCAAAGCTCACTGCAGCCTCAAACTTTTGGGCTCAAGCAATCCTCCTGCTTCAGTCCCCTGAATAACTGGGACTACAGGCACATGCCAACATGCTCGAATAATGCCTGACCCATTTCTTTAACAATACTAAGTCTATGGAACAGAAATGCAGCGGTGAACAAACAACAGAAAAGTTTCTACGTTTGTCTTTCCCCCGTCTATGCTCTCATCTGAAGAAGCTTTGTATTTGGTGTCCAAACATCTTATTAGGATTTCTATAAATGAGAGCATATTTTACATTGTGATACCCTTTACACTTTCTTCCCACATGGTATGGAACATGAATATTCTTTCATTCTCTCTGGCTCTGTCTATACTGGGTCTGTCTTTATGTTGGTTTAGAGATTACAAAGTATTTCCCATATGTTATCCTATTTAATTCTTACCTATACTTCACTATATATGAGGTTAAATGGAGATTGCTATGACCATTTTACAAATGAGATTAAGGTTTAGCATGACCTAATATCATAACTATTAGAGCTGGCACCAGAATCCAAGTTTTTAAACTTCTAATCAGGTTCCCAAGATTTTCCTGGGAAAACGTAAAAATGCTCTAAACTCTGCCCCCAAAGGGATCCTCAAAATGTGCTCCATGGTACATTTCTTTTTCTTTCTTTCAAGACAGGGTGATATGGCTTGGCTGTGTCCCCACCTAAATCTCATCTTGAATTGTAGCTCCCATAATTCCCACATGTCCTGGGAGGGACCTGGTGGGAGGTAATTGAATCATAAGGGCGGGTTTTTCCTGTGCTGTTCTTATGATAGTGAATAAGTCTCACAAATTCTGATGGTTTCATAAAGAGGAATTCCCCTGCACGTGCCCTCTTGCCTGCTGCCATGTAAGACATATCTTGCTTTCTTTCCCTTCACCTTCTGCCATGATTGTGAGGCCTCCCCAGCCATGTGGAACTGTGAGTCAATTAAACCTCTTTCTTTTATAAACTACCCAGTCTCCAGTGTTTTTTTTTTTTTTTTTCTGAGACAGAGGCTTGCTCTGTCACCCAGGCTGGAGTTCAGTGGCGCGATCTCAGCTCACTGCAAGCTCTGCCTCCTGGGTTCACGCCATTCTCCTGCCTCAGCCTCCTGAGCAGCTGGGACTAAAGGCGCCTGCCACCATGCCTGGCTAATTTTTTGTATTTTTTAGTAGAAATGGGGTTTCACCTTGTTAGCCAGGATAGTCTCGATCTCCTGACCTCGTGATCCGCCCACCTTGGCCTCCCAAAGTGCTGGGATTACAGGCGTGAGCCACTGCGCCCGGCCTCGAGTGTGTTTTTATTAGCAATGTGAGAAAAGACTAATACACAGGGTCTCGCTCTGTCTCCGACTGGAATGCAGTGATGCGATCAAGGCTCACTGCAGCCTTGGTCTCCTGGGTTCAAGAGGTCCTCCCACCTCAGCCTCCTGAGTAGCTGGGACTACAGGTGCACCAACACGCCTGGTTAATTTTTTTATTTAAAAGATATATTTTTTTTTACTTTCTTTTTGAGACTGAAGGAAATAATGTATACAGTGGTCCATCTCCAAGACAAAGTGCCTTGAATCGGCTTAGGTCAGCAAACTACAGAAGAAACAGGATATACAAGGCCCCTGCTTGGATAGTCGATGCCTACTTGTTGGCTTTCCCCTTCTTCCCCTCTCTGCTCCCCATTAGTTGCCCTTACCCAAACCAAAAAAAGTTTAGTTTAAAAGTTTACTAGCCTGCAAAATAGCTAATTTTGTCTGTTCCTATCAGCCTGCCCAGCTACTTAGGTCATAAGTCAAATACTTGAAAAGCCCCTAAGCTAACTAGAATTGCAATGCATTGTGGGCTGCAACAAAATGCAGCAAGACAACCCTAAAAACAAACAAACAAACAAACAAACACGCCTAAAGCCACTATGCAACAATCAATAGGTGACATCTGGGAAGATCGTGACCCCATAGTACTCAGCCTATGAGGAACCAGGGGAGGGACCTGTGCAGTAGGGGATAAATTGCTTGTTGAAATTGTGCTGGGTGTGCCTGCTCATCAGACACCTGATCTTGCAAGACCATCATTAAAAGTCTCACTTTCGCTGTTCTCCAGGTCTCTAAGTCCATTCTTTGGGTTTGGACAGGTGACTTTGTTTCTCACAAGACAAGTTCTCACTCTGTTGCCCATGCTGGAGTGCAGTGGCATGATCACAGCTCACTGCAGCCTTGACTTCCCAGGCTCAAGTGATCTTCCTACCTCAGCCTCCCAAGTAGCTGGGACTACAGGTGAGTGCCACCATGCCTGGCTAATTTTTGTATTTTTTGTAGAGATGAGGTTTTACCATGTTGCCTAGACTGGTCTCGAACTCCTGGGCTCAAGGGATCTGCCTGCCTTGGCATCCCAAAGAGCTGGGATTACAGGCATGAGCCACTGTGCCTAGCCAATTTTTTAATTGTATTTTTGTAGAGATGGGGTCCCACTATGTTGCTCAGGCTGGTCTTGAACTCCTGGGCTCAAGCAGTCCTCCCACTTCAGCCTCACAAAGTGCTGTGATTACAAGCGTGGGCCTGTTCTTCAGGGAGGACTTTGCATTGAACCTTCCTGAATTTTGAATCTAGTTAGTATGCACAGGTTAAATAATCAACGTCTTCATGTAGTGTAGTGTAGTGGAAATAGAAACCCCTTGAACAGAATTTTATTCCCCTTCACAATTCAAGAATTTGCATCCCCCAAGAGACCCCTATCTCTACTTTTACTGCATGTTTAATTTACTTCCTAAAAGAGAAAGTGATACTATTTAAATAATTTAAGTTCCAAGGATATTAGCCAACATCAAAAGACCTGATATGTTCTGTGGAGTGCTGAGAGACAGGCAGTGGGCTGAGGACCCAATCACTGCAACAAAGAATAAAGAAACATGATGATGGTAGGAGCTGCAAGACCAGAAAAGGGGGACAGGGAAGAAAATTGAGTCACATCTCAGCCTTGACTCTTCCAGTGGGCCTGGCATGGTGCTGTGCTGGATAAAGAGTTGCAGAGATGAGATGCTCACAGCCAAATGAGGGAGACACAGGTAAAGACATGACAGGAACCAATGCTCCCTGCAGGACTCAGGGAAAGCCTCACACAGAAGGAGGCTCTCGAAGTTGACCTCTGGGCACCTGAGGGAGCCAAAGGCATCCTCAGCTGAGGAAACTGCACTTGCAAGAGTGTGCAGGTCCAAAAAGGTTCCAGGGCTTGGGGCATCACATGGGCTGGTTTGGCTGGCACAGAGTGAGTTTGGAGGAGCAGGGAAAGGAGGGTTATGAGCAAGAGGAGTGTGAAGCTGGGGGCTTGAATAGCCTTCAAGCTGGGGAGAAGCTGACTCTCAACCTGAGAGAAGCCCCTCGCTCACTGGCTAACTCAGGTGCTTCTCAGTCTGGGTCCCCATCAACACACCTGCTGTAGGAAATAACATGCATGCAATGAGCAATTAAGATTGTGATCCACATGGCTCAATTAATACTCAAGTTTTTCCTTTCTAATTTTTTTTTTTAGAGAGTCTTGCTCTATTGCCCAGGCTGGAGTGCAATCACTCAATCTTGGTTCACTACAACCTCTGCCTCCTGGATTCAAGTGATTCTCCTGCCTCAGCCTCCCAAGCAGCTGAGATTATAGGCACTCACCACCAAGCCCAGCTAATTTTTGTATTTTTTGCAGAGACAGGCTTTCACCATGTTGGCCAGGCTGGTCTCAAACTCCTGACCCCAAGTAATCTGCCTTGGCCTTCCAAAGTGCTGGGATTACAGGTGTGAGCCACTGTGCCTGTCTCAAGTTTTTGTTTTACTTTTTACACTGTGCTTCTTTATATGTTCATAAAAGGAAACCCTGTCTTTAGCAGTAGCCTTTTCTTCATGTCTTCTTTTCTGAGCTCTGCAAACAATTTCTCCCCATTCTATCTTCATGACTCTCATTATTCACCCGTCACCTTTCCTTAGGTACCTGCACCCCATTGGCCCTGTTCTGCACCACACCTGGTGTCTCAGGCCCTTCCTGCTGCTGCAACAAAATACCCATGACTGGGTAATTTTATAAATAATAGACATTTATTTCTCACAGTTCTGGAGGCTGGGAAGTCCAAGATTAAGACACTAACATCCAGTGTCTGATGAGGGTGTTTTTGCTGTGTCCTTACATGGTGGAAGGCAGAAAGTAAAAAAGGGATGAATGGTGTGTGAACCTCTTTTATAAGACATTAATCCCATTCACTAGGGCAGAGTCCTCTGGCTTAATCATCTCCTAAATGTCCCATCTATCATATTGGTGACTGTGTTTCAACATATAAATTTTCGAGGACACATTCAGGCCATAGCACCTGCCCAGGACTACAGCTCTCCTTGAGGGAGGGAAGGTGGAGGAACTAAGCAGACAAAACCAGAATTCTCTTTTGTCGGCTAGGTTTACTCAAACAATGTCCATTCTATCACGCTTGCTGGGAGCACGGCAGCTCTGTGCTGCCTCGGCATGCGTTTAAGAGCCCTTTTGTTCTTTTAATTACCTAGACATTGCAGATTATTAACCATATGAGTAGCTAGCTCAGTGCTAGGCCTTGGAGTAACAAAGGGGCAGAGGGTGACTAAGATGCTGCAGATTTCTTTATTTAGAGACAAGGTCTTTCTCTATCACCCAGACTTCAGTCCAGTGGTGCAATCTTAGCATACTGCAGCCTCAGACACCTGGGCTCTAGTGATTCTCCTGCCTCAGCCTCCTGAGTAGCTGGGACTACAGACACATGCCACCATGTCTGGTTAATTTTTAAATTTTTATTTTGTAGAGACAGGAGTTTCACTTTGTTGCCCAGGCTATCCTCAAACTCCTGCTCTCAAGCGATCCTCCCACCTCAGCCTTCCAAAGTGCTGAGATTACAGGCATGAGCCACTGTGCCCAGCAATGCCGCCCATTTATTTTTTTTATGTTTTTGTTTCTTTTTCAATGCTGCAGATTTAAACACAAGCAGCATTGTTTTCTTTTTTAACCCATGTGATTGTGTTTAATCCTCTTAATAACCTTGTGATGGCAAAGTGCAGCTTCTGTTCTCAAAAAGCTTAAAATGTAGTTGAGGGAGCTAGGCCTATACATAATGATCAAAATACAGGCACAAAGAGAAGGAATAATAATTTTTAAAAGGTATCTAAAATGCATTAGGAATCAGGGATGGTTCTATGATTTGTATGGATATGTCCTTCCAAAATTCATATGTTAAACCTTAATCTCCAATGTGATAGTATTAAAAGGTGGGGACCTTTAGCAGGTGATTAAATCATAACAATGGGGCACTCATGAATAGGATTTGTGACCTTACCAAAGAGGTTCAAGGGAGCTGTTTGCCTTTTTTTGTCCTTCCCACCATGTGAAGGGGATAACATTTAAGGTATCATCTTGGAAGCAGCGGTGAGGTCCTCCCCAGGCACTGAACCTGCTGGTGCCTTGATCTTAGACTTCTCAGCCTCTGTAACTACGAGCAATACATTTATGCTATTTATAAATTACCCAGTCTAAGGTATTTTCTATTGCAGCAGGAATGAACTAAGACAGATGGAGAGAGGCTTTCTGTTTAGTGGGGCACCTGGCTTTGGGGAGGAGCTGGTATTGAACCTGAACCTAGATAGATAACTCGGATCCTGACACAGGAACGGGGCATTTCAAGTTACAGAGCAGCAAGAGTAAAGGAACAAGCCAGGAATCTGCTTATATTAGTCTGTTCTCATGCCAAAGAGTGGGTAATTTATAAAGGAGAGAGGTTTAATTGACTCACAGTTCAGCATGGCTGGGGAGGCCTCAGGAAACTTACAATCACGGCAGAAGGGGAAGCAAACATGTCCCTCTTCACATGGCAGCCGGAGAGAGAAGAATGAGAGCCTGGCAAAGGGGGAAGCCCCTTATAAAACCATTAGATCTCATGAGAACTATCTATCATGAGAACAAGATGGGGGAAACCACCCCCATGATTCAATTATCTCCACCTGGTGCCTCCCACCACACATGGGGATTATAGGAACTACAATTCAAAATGAGATTTGGGTGGGGACACAGCCAAACCATATCAATGCTGTAGGGATGAGCAATGAGACATAGAGGGGAAGAATGAGTTTGGGTACAGATTCTCAAGGGCTGGAACATGAAGCTAAGGGGATGAATTTAGCAAATATCTTTGTGTTCGGCTCCTTCTGTGAGAAGGACAAATTTATTCACTGAATGGGAATTCACAAACTGATAGCATGTTTCTTAGCCTGTGCTTGGTTCCTGAGAGAGATATAGGGTCCCTGCCCTCTGGAGGTTTATACTACAGGCATGGAAGGATTCAGTTCTATAATTGATTAGAGAGGAGTATGGTTTCAACAGTGAGTTCACTCCAAAGTTTGGGAATGGAGGAATGTTCTCAGGGATTGGAAGTGCAGAAGGAGGGATTTAGGGGTTACAAAAGAAACTGAGGCTAGAAGGGTGGGAAGAGAGAAGGTAGGGAATTCCTAATGGAACTATAGAGTAGGGTGAAAGGGCAGGAGAAGCCGTGAGAAAGCAAGCTGGGTCCTGCTTCAAAAGCTCTTGAAGAGCCAGTGCAAAAGACAGCATTTCCAGATTCTGATCAGCCCCCGAGCATTCTGTTCTGGAAGGTTCACTTCAGTGCATAACCGGCACAGCCTAACACCTCCAGCAAGGCTGCGAGGTAGACATCACCATCTCCATTTTACAGATGGAACAACGATGCACAGAGAAGTGAGGTGAATTTCCCAGGGCTCCTGCCTAGTAAAGGGCTATTTGGTTTCAGAGCTTCTCCGAGACCCCTCAGAGGCACTGCCCTCATTCAGGTAAAGACCCCGAACATAGAAGGTACAGAAGGAGGATGTACATACGAGGAATGATTCCTTGGGAGGCTTTTGAGCACAGGTACTATCTGTGATTAACACTTAAAGATTATATACTCCACCAGTGGGAGGGAAGAGACAGACTCATTTCCCCATTCACGGCTAATGGACGTATGGCAGTGCAGATGCCTCTGCATTTTGATTGGTTTTCTCATATAGGGGAATAACTTTTCAAAGATCCCAGAGGTTCAAATATGGATATAAAAGCAATTTTATATCCAATAATATGCTCTAGTTACCTCTGTGGAGTTTAGCCACTGCAAAAGAGGCCCTTTGAGTCCTTCCTACTCCGGTGCTCCCCTGCCAAGCCCTCTCCTAGCAGGTGAGCGTCTGAGGCCTCCTGGAGCCCACTTTTCACCCTTTAATGAGGCTGGAGGCGCCAAAGTGCGCCCCTGGGGGCCAGAGGGCCAGAGGCTGGGTCATAAAGGGCTCTAGTTAAAAGAGGCAAAAGGTGCCAGAGAAACACTAGGGCCTTGTTTTTGTTTGTTGGTTGTGCATTTTAATTACTGGGAAGGAATAATTGAGCTTCCACTTCTGAGGCGGGGGCTGGTCTAACAAACTCGAGGACCCTTAGCAATTGGGCAGCGCGAGGTCTCTGCTCCCACCTGCAGAGGACACAGGTACCCGAAGCAGACGCTAGTTCCCCAACTTTTTGAAGCCCCTGCTCATCCTATTTGAGAACAGAGGCTATATATTCTGTGAGGAGTTGCCTGTAAGTTTCCCCAGCCACCAGGCGTTCAGTCACTGGCTGCAGATCCCGCAACCCTCGGGTGTTCAAGTGCGCGGGGTGGTGCGGGCGCTCCCGCAGTCCGCGCTTGGCTCGTGGGAGGCCTCGGGCGCCCCCTCCAGGATTCCGTGCTAACTGCAAACGATCGCGCTCGCAGGGAGGCCCCCAGTGCTTGGAAAACTCCAGGAATCCCTTCAGAGCACTTTATTTCCAGGCCAGCACGCGGCGCTCTGCAGACCTAGTACTGGGCTGTGGATAAGGAAGAGCAGAGCGGATGGGTTACGCCGAGGATGCCCAGGCTGAGCCTCGGAGTCTGGTGCTCCTGGACTCTGCTGAGGGCTGGGAGGGAAGGACAGGTGCCTTCCTCTGAGCCCGGCTTTGAACAGATCTGGTACCAAGGCGAGAGGAACAGCTTGATGACTCTAATTTCATAAAGGGACAGTGAGAAACTCGGGTGCTTTGGTGAAAAGGGCTCATCTGTGTAGTTACTTAGCAAAATCACATGGTTCGTAAACGCCAGATAAGTGTCCTTATCTGCAAAATCGGGGTACAAAAGCTTGTGTCACAGGCCAGATGTGATGATTAGATGATAATTAAACTCCCCGCAGTGACTGATGGAGTCAATGCTGTTTCCTTCCCCTCAAGTTAAGGATTTCTGGTAATTTTTTTCCCCCCTCAAAAAGGTCGGAAGCTTAGCTGAGGAGAGTTTGCAGTACATGAACTTCTTCCTTCCACTATGGCAGGTAGGAGTGTGTCAAGATGTCACAGACTGCGGTCCTATAAAGGGTCCATCCTGGAGACAAAGACTCAAGCTCACTTAAAGAAGCTGTTGCCTTTAGTCCAATCTAGAGATCACAGAATTATTATAAACATGTTTCAATTACCTACACAGCAAAAAATAAAGTTCAAAGAATATGAAAGAACTGAAAATGCAAAGTGAAGTTAGCTTTCCTCCTTGCCTAGACAACTACTGTGGTTCCTTTCAGAGATTACCTTACGATTTAAAGTGATATATATGAAAGAAAGAATGTTTGAAAAGGATAAATGTCAATTTCTTTCTCCTAAGTATTCCTAATTTTTACATTGGAAAAAATTATAAATCTAATTACAATTCACTTTTTTCTGTACATTTATCAGTCAAGTCTAAAAACTGAAAACTGATAAACAGCATTTACAATATTATTCAGTAATTTTTGCACTGTGAATTCTTAGTTATAGCAGAACTAAATAGTGTATTTGGAACCTTATGGAAGCAGTGTATCAATGAGTCTGCACCATGTATAGGTTTAGAGTATGAATGTATACTACCTGCATGGCCTGGGGAAACCCAAGCGTAGAAATGGCCATTAAAATTAATATCCCTTAGGTGCTTGGCAGAAGCAGATATAAACTTGACAAAGAGACAAGCTTCAATCCGGGTCTTCCAAGTGTCTTAAGAGGAGAGAATAATACAAATTAACACACACACTATGAACAAGAAAGAGCAAACACAACCAACAGAATTAGAAGATAGGATTACAACTCTTCAGATTTCAATAACTGAACAACCTATTCCATAGCATAAAGTTAGTTTAAAAAAATGAAGACTAAGAAGAAATACGTGATAGAACAAATCTGAAAAACCTATTAGAACTATTAATTGTGAAAAATATAGTCATGGACACTTTTAAAAAGGCAACAAATGGGTTAAACCTCAGGTTGGTTACAACTGAAGAGAGAGAAACTGGATGACAGATATGAGAAATTTACCCAGAATTCAACACAAAGGGATTTAGGATAAGAAATAGGAAAGAGAGGTTAAGAGGCAGGGAGAATAAAAATGTTTAACATATCTAATGGATTTCCATAAAGAGAGACTTGAGAAAATAAAGAAGGTGCAATATTCAAATATAATGGGGGAGAACATTCAGAACAGATGAAAATGAATTTTCAGAGCTGTTAAACAGTGAAGACACATTCTAGAGAAGGTATAAAATCAAGGAAAAAGGATGATCTTAATAACCAGGAAGAATAACACTCTACAAAGGAATGACAGATGTCAACAGCCGCAGAAGACAGAGGACTGTGGATACTATCTCCGAAGTAGGACAGAAAATAATTATGACTCTTGCTTTAAAATCATAACAACTAAAATTAAAATGAGTATTTAAATTTTTTTTCAGATTACTAAATTAACAGTACTGTCACTGTCTTCTGGGTAAAACGTTGCTCAGCTTGTATTTGAAGAGGCCAAGATATGGCTGTGGAAGAAATTTGTTCTCTTAAGTGGTGTAAGCCAGTACTTTTTTCTGCAGATAAACAGAGGAAGAAATATTCCTATCATTCCAGGGAAATTCTTCTCAAACTACCCTAGTCTTTGGCTAAAGTTCTGGTGCCTGTTTAACAAAAAGAGTCTACCTTTGGAAACACTGCTTCAGTTTTATGGACCTTAGCTTCAGGATTTGCTATTTTAAAATTTTCTATAAAAACAGTTTAATATTCATTTTCAGATCCCTAAATTTCTTGCTCCTTCTAAAGTCAGATCCTTCCTTGAAACTAGCTTTTAAACCAAAAGAAAGTAGGAGATCTGATGTCCTGTCTTGAGCAATAACATTTTTTTTTAGAGTCAGGGTCTCCCTCTGAGCTCAAGCTGAAGTGCAGTGGTACAATCATAGCTCATGCAGTCATGAGCTCCTGGGCTCAAAGATCCTCCTGCCTCAGCCTCCCAAGTAGTTAGGATTACAGGTACATGCCACTACGTGTGGCTAATTTTTTAACTTTTTGTGGAGATGCATTTTCACTCTTGCTCAGGCTGGTCTCAAACTTCAAGTCTCAAGCAATTCTCCCACCTCAGCCTCCCAAAGCACTATGATTACAGGTGTACGCCACTGCACCTGGCCAACTTATTTTATACTTATCATCTGTTGTAATTTCTCAGGAAAGAGAGTTATCTGTATTAGATCTTTTGGTCAGATAGGCCAACTACTTTTGACTGTCGTACTAAATCTGGTTATAGAGAAATATCATGAAGCAACACACCAAGTTTCTGCTTGCCAGAAATGTACTTGTTTTGCATAGCAGGTCTGACATGGGTTTCTTTGCATCACATATTGCCATACTGCAGTGGACGTACAGCTGCAGGAATTAAGAGGCATTTGTTAGTGAAGTTGGCCAGGGTTATAAGCACTATCCTGGTAGGCCAACATTTCCAATTAAATTTGCTTGGTCTAACCATATTCAACTAGAGGCTGCCATTTTAACCTGCTCTATAGTATGGGCTCATTAACTTAGATCTATTCCTAGGTAATATTAGCTAAATAGATCAAGGTCAAGAGTCTGAATTCTTCAATCTCTTGTGATTTCATTTGATTTATAGGTCTGGTGATTCTAAAGTTTTAGAATATGGTAACAGTTTTATATAATGGTTATATAGCTTAATATGCAAATGTTTGTATTGTACTTCTAAAATATAGGGAGTTATAGGCCAGGCACAATGTCTCATGCCTGTAGTCCCAGCACTTTGGGATCCTGAGGTGGGTGAATCACGTGAGGCGAGGAGTTTGAGACCAGCCTGGCCAACATGGTGAAACCTGTCTCTACTGAAAATATAAAAATTAGCTGGACATGGTGATGTACACTTGTAGTTCCAGCTACTCAGGAGGCTGAGGCATGAGAATTGCTTGAACCTGGGAGACGGAGGATGCAGTGAGCTGAGATGGTGCCACTGCACTCCAGCGTGGGCGATAGAGTGAGACCCTGTCTCACACACACACACACACACACACACACTATACAAATATATATATATATATATATATATATATATGGAGTTGTAAATAACAGACTTTATGTGCTATATGTATGATAGACCTATCATGAAAAATGTGAAGTAAAAAGATTATAAGTTAAAATAGAATGACTGTTATCTATCTCATCGCTGGAATGAATGACAATGGCTTTTTAGACTAGGCCATTTTATGAAAGAGTGTTACAGCCATTTTCAATTAAGATTTGCTAATTCATTCTAGTTTTTCTCTTGTCTAAATATCCACAACTAGACAAATCTGACTTTTTAAAATTAAATTGCTTTCACTTGGTCTTTAACCTGTCCATTGGCATATTTGAGCAAGTGTCAACACAGTCATAGATGAAGAACCTACTCACATCTTCCAATAATGCATTTTCTTTCTCCATGAAGGTAAACATTTTAAGTTCAAATCTCTTCACATGGGAAGGAAACTCACATCCATGAAGAAATTATATCCACGGGGTAGAAGACAGTTTCATGGAATCTCATCATTTGCATAGCTTTAAAAAAAAACACCAGAAAAGAACTAAGTCTCACTGTCACAGGAGACTCTAAATAGAGCTTTTATTCAAAGAATATATTAAGAGGTAGGATGGTTGAGTAGAGGCTGCAGGGTGCAATGAGATTGGAATTTTAAAACTGGCCAGGCGTGGTGGCTCACGCCTGTAATCCCATCACTTTGGGAGGCCGAGGCGGGTGGGTCACGAGGTCAGGAGATCGAGACCGTCCTGGCTAACATGGCGAGACCCTGTCTCTACTAAAAATACAAAAAATTAGCCGGGCATGTTGGCAGGCGCCTGTACTCCCAGCTACTCGGGAGGCTGAGGCAGGAGAATGGCGTGAACCCAGGAGGCGAAGCTTGGTGAGCCGAGATGACGCCACCGCACTCCATCCAGCCTGGGTGACAAGAGTGAGGGTCTATCTCAAAAAAAAAAAACAAAAACAAAAACAAACAAACAAACAAACAAAAACTATTGCTTTCTCGTGTACTGGGTCTGGACAAGCCAGGCAGTGCTTTAGTGCCTCTGTGCCCTTGCCTATGAGATGTTACTGACAACACCTTCACTATGACAGTGGACAAGAATATATAATGGAGGACTATTGTAAACTCACATTGTAGATTATTATTGGAGCGCTGACAAAGCCTACGAGTTAGTGGTAGGGTAAAAGAGAAGAATACTAGAAAAGAGTTCCTGGAGTACAAAGTAAAACTACAGATTCTCTGAGGAGCAGGACAGCAGTGTGGTAAGAACAAGGAACCAGGGGGCAGTACAGGATCTGATCTCATCTTCCCACCTCATTCTATTCCAGACCCATTGGCCCCCTTGCTGTTTCTAGAACATACTGATCATGCTTGGAATAATGTTCCATATACCAGCATGCCTTCCTGCCTTCAGATGTCTGCTCAAATGTGACTTCATTGCAGAGGCTTGCCCCTGTGATCCTGCATAAAATATCTCTCACTCACTCACATTGACTTTCATCTCTTTAACTGTTTTATTTTATTTTACTACCACATGACATTTGCTTCCCATTAAAACAGAAGCCTCATGAGAGCAGGAACTTTGTTTATTACTGTATTGTATTGCCAGAATCTATAGTATATGGATGGAAATGAGTGAATACATTGGAATAGGGATAGAATACCTGGGTTCCAGGCCTTCCTCACTGTGTTAACATGGACAAGACAGGACAAGAGTCTTGTCCATGTTAACACAGTGAGGAAGGCCTGGAACCCAGGTATTTCACTTGTCTGACTTGGAAGAGATAATATATGTTTTTTGCTTAGTAGTTGTAAAGATTAAGAAGGAAGAAACATTTACGAACACCTACTACTAAGCAATTTTCATTAAGCTCCATATCAATCTGATAAATATTAGTACTCCCATTTTACAGATTAACTGCATCTAAGAGAGTTTGTTAAAATCTAGTGCCATTAAAGTGTGCAAAATAAAGATTAAAGATGTAACATGCAAATGCAAGCTATTTTTTAAATCAAACTAGTTACCCTTTATCTTTTCTTTCCTTTTTTGTGGAGAACAGGGTCTTGCTATATTGCCCAGGCAGGCCTTGAGCTCCTAAGCTCAAGCTATCCTCCCGCCTCTGTCTCCCTAAGTGCTGGGATTATGGGCATGAGCCACCACATCTGACTGATTAAATTAGTAATGAAATTAATAACTACTTGTAACAAACCATCTATAATTTACTAGATAAAACTTGTATATAGTTTGGCCAGTTTCTTCATTTTTATAACTTTAGGCATGAAATAAGACAAGGAATAAGTAAAACAAAAATAATTCATTTGGATGTATTACCATTGCTATTATCTGATTGTTGAAAAGTTCATGTTTTCCACTTTTTATAGAGATCCATTACAACTTGAGAGTAATAATTTTCTAAACATTTCAGTCATTTAATAATTTTTTTCAGATAGGGTCTTGCTTTGTCACCCAGGCTGGAGTGCAGTGGTGCAATTCTGGCTGACTGCAGCCTCAACCTCCCAGGCTCAGTAGATCCTCCCAACTCAGTCTCCCAAGTAGCTGAGACCACAGGTGCATGCCACCACACCCTGCTAATTTTTGCATTTTTTGTAGAGATGGGGTCTGTGTTGCTCCTCCAGGTCTAGAACTCCTGGCTTCAAGAAATCTTCCTGCCTCAGCCTTCCAAATGTTGGGATTACAGACATGAGCCACTGTGCCCAGCCTAGAAGTTTTGGGATCTACTTATTTTTTTTTTCCCTTAGCAAAAGGGAAGTTAGGACAATTTACTATGATTATTGACAGCATCTTGAATTTCTACTTCATATATTTGATAAGTATATTGATTTGTAGGCCTTTTGTAATAACTTAAAGGTCTTCTAATGTTTGTATCACAAGGCTTGGCAAATGTTTAAGAAATTACATGGGAAGAAAAAGAAACTACATGGAGAATGCGTCTCATAGTGAAGCCTTTTAGGTCAATTAAGGTACACTAAAAAAAAAAAGTGAAGCAAAAAGGGTGAAAAAAAGGTGTAGATTTTTATGAATTCAGTGCTAGAGGGCATCTGTTAACATTTGTAGCAAGACTAGATTTTAATCTGAAGAGCACAGCCTTAATGTTTCTTCTTGCTTGAAGTTTTCCAAAAATATACCTCACTATCCAGATATTAGGTCATTTGCATGCTATAGGAACAGAATAATATAAACCTCTTAATTCTTCTGTGAAAGTTGACTTTTATGTACTGTCTTTATGCAGAATTAAAAAATTTGCATTTCAATGATTGATGAGAAAAGATAGATAAAAAGACTGTTGACATAGAAAAGTGAAAGCTACTGAGAGAAAAGTTTAATCCCAGGTAGATAAAATGTTCATTTCTGAGCCTCCTATCAGCCAAGGCAGGAAAGGAGACAGTGTCATGGGATTCATTTCCTGAAGACAAAGTACAGAAGAAAACGTTCCTGGCATTAAGCATCAAAAAGAACTGATACAATAAGGGCCAGTCCATTTTATTCCTCCATCTTCAGCAGTAGTTTCCTTGAAGATTCAGAGATGTGATGGTTTCACATTGATTCTCATTATGAGCCAAGGACACAACGTAATTTACTCTCAGAGTAAATTAGCCATAGGCAATGAGTTAAGGTGGCCACATTTCTGAATTTGAGGCAGAAAAGTTAACACTTAGAATATTTTTACTAATTTCCTAGGAATTTGAGATAGCATAGATGATTTGTGATAATGCCTCACTCTTCACTAAATAGTTACAGAGAGTGTAACTATTCCAACCATGGGACTCACCAGTCACTGCAACCTTTTAAAAAGCTTCATGTTCTTCAGAGCATAATATGTCTGTGCTTATCTTCCCCAGTAAATATAGGCTTAGAGCAGAAACTCTCTTGTTCACTGCTGTCTTCCTGATATGTAGACTGGTACTTGGTATGCTGCGCTCAATGATTTTGAGTGAATACATTCTTACCTCTAAGATACCTTCCATTGAAAATAAATCTATTCAGACTGGACTCAAAAAAATCTCAACTTATATTATTCACCACCCTCTATGAGAAAGAAATGAAACTTTTCAGATTCAGTTTCTATAAGCTTTGAGGGAAGAAAAAGGCTAAATACAAAGAGAATATGTAGAAGTAGTTTAAGAAAATAAATTAGGACTTATACCCTAAGCATTCTAATGAGTTGAGGGCTCAATTTCCTCGCTTGTAAACATCACACAAACACACCTGTTATCAGTTTGAAGTGCCTGTTAATAATGTTTCACTGTGGGATGCTCTTGGGATCTAGGCCTAGGGTAGATCAGCAATCCTCTAGAGATAACTCTAGTTGTGGATCTTCAGAATACAGAAGCTCAATTTTGAAGAAAACTGCTTCTTTTAAATATTTTATGACAGGGTATTTTACATTCTTGTAGAATTCTGAATACAATGAGTCAAATAATGTTCTTATTTGGAATTCTTTTCTTCACAGATTTAATAGAAAGTTTTAGCTTTAAAAATAGTAACTGTGATATAATAAAAATTAAGTTAGAAATATATTTAGGGCTGGGCACAGTGGCTCATGCCTGTAATCCTAGCACTTTGGGAGGCTGAGGCAGGAGGATCACTTGAGGTCAGGAGTTTGAGACCAGTGTGGCCAACATGGTGAAACCCATTCTCCACTAAAAATAAAAAAATTAGCCAGGCATGGTGTGGTGGGCCTATAGTCCCAGCTACTTGGGAGGCTGAGGCACAAGAATCGTTTGAACCTGGATGCAGAGGTTGCAGTGAGCCGAAATTGTGCTGCTGCAATCCAGACCGGGGGACAGAGCAAGACTTTGTCTTAAAAAAAAAAAAAAAAAAAAAAAAAAAAAGGAGATAAACTTAGGTTTGAGGATTCTTTCTAAATATGTATGCACAGATGAGAAATCCTAACACCAACCAGAGAACATTGTTTTTCTAAACTTTTCTGTTATTATTGCCTACAATTTTATTTTATACTATTATCTCCTCACTGCTTCCCCACTTTGATGACTGACTAGTCATTAAGATATTATCTGAATTAACTTAATAGCTAAAACTTTCTATGACCTGATGTGCCATAAATCTGAAAAGCCTAAACCTCTAAGAGTTATCTATACAGGGAACATACTATGTATTTATGTTAAATATATATTTGCTCTTACAGATACTAGGTGACAGCATTTGTCTATAAGTCTGAATACATTTTATTTCCTCATATTTCTAGAAGAAGGAATATAAACTCATGCATAGTTTATAGCACAGTATCAAGTTGCATTCTGTAAAGATGCTACCAAATTTTTTCACCATCAGCAGTGCGACAGCTGTTTACCACACACTTGCTGACATAAAATAGACGTTGCCAAGTATTTTAATTTGATAAGAAATTATAATTCATTTTTAATTTGTATTTCCAGTTTCTAGTGATAGACTTTTTAATATATAGAAAGTCTGTGTTTTTCGGTGAGTTTTATATATCAATTACTAATATCTATTTGATATTAGTAAGTTTTCACTCATAAGATCTGTTCATGTAGGATATTTGCCTCTTGTACTTTGTTGTAATATTCATTGAACTGAGCCTCAGTTTTCTAATTGATGAAACTACAGCGGTTCTTGCCTGTCTCTTAAGGTAGCTGAGGAATAAATGAGACAACAGACACAAGTAAGACTGATAGGAAGTGTTATATGAGGCCAAATTATTTTGTTATTGTTGCCTTGAACTGAATTGCCTTCCCATACTGCCAAGAAGAATCTATTTTTGGACACCTTCATGGTCAGGGCGATAAGACCAAGTCCTGGCTCAACACTGGGTACCAGGTTGTTCTTTGGTTGGTAATGAAATGTGACTGCATCATGGAGAAGATACCAGCAGGCACATCTTAATCTGAGGAAAATACAACAGCATCCCCTTAGAAAAGACACAACAGTTCTTGAATCATCAGGCATCACCAGCTGCAAAGCTTATAATGGAGTTACCCCACTTCCACCCACTTCTGCTGCCTTCTACAAACTCCGGGTGGTGAAGAAAAGGAGGGAAGTATTTAAGTCTCCTGCCTAACAAACAGGACCAAAAATTAAAACTTCTGGAGAAATCCCTTTTCTGCTTTGATCCTCCCTTCCCTTCACACCATCTTACTGGTACATAGGATCAGTTGCTCCAGGTTGGAAGTAAAGGACGTCATTTTCATTAGTTAAAATGTCATTTTCAAACTAGTTCAGTGAAGATAATTATGAACATAGCATCGTTCTCACTGGAAGTGGAGAAGACACATAGGTGTGGTAAAAAAATAATCTTACTTTTCTACGAGTATTCACACTGAACAAAAATGTTGCACTTGTTTTAGTAACAACTGCAGATTTGTCCCTTAAAGTGAATTCCTGTGGATCCAGGCCTGACGCTCCTTTCAGCTTCATTGCAGTAACTACCACAGAGCCCTTGGACTTGCAGTCTGGCAGACATTTAGATAGGTGAAGAGACTCAGGTCCAGAAATAGTGTGAACAGAGAAACATGAAAATGACCACTGCATGACAACTAGACATGTTAAGATATAATACACTTAAGATCAAGGTTGAGATTCCAAAGACCATAAAGGAAATCTTAGACCATGAAAGAAATAACCAAACCTGGAACAATAAATGATGATCTGACACTGCAGCTGCTAGAACGGTAATGGGGGTTAGAGATGGTGTCAATCCCAGTAGCCAAGGACTTGTATTTTAGTACCTGTAGAGTGACAGAAGCATCTCAAGCCTGTAAGAGGCTTGAATTAAAAATAGGACCCTTGCAGGAAGTCTAGATGCTCTAGGTATTATATTCCCACTGAAAGGGTAACCTAGAAACCTTTTGCTTCCACATAGCCATAAGAAAAGATAAGTTTCCCCATCTACAATTGAGGTCTTATGGCTGGAAAGTAAGAGGATAGTTTCCCTAGAATTTATAACACTAAGCCTGCCCTTACAATTTAATTCAGGGTTTTAGGTTTCTCAATCAGTGTAATGTAGAAAACCAAACCCATTTTCAAGAATGTCTTCCAGTTATGAATAACTTGGGGTACCTTGCAGAAAAACAAAGCTTCTATGGAAACACATTTTTCAAACCAGGCCACACAGACTATGTGCAAAGCTCTACTCAAGATAGGTTCAAAATACAAAGTAACAAAACACACGAAGAAATCTTTGAGTGTAAATCAGTAAATAGGATTGAAATTTCAAATAGAACGGTAAGAATTTACGAAGTCAGTAATCTCAGAAATTTATATAAATAGTATCAAACATAAGTCTAAAGTATTATCAAATGAGAAGAGGCATATATGAAAAAGCCAAATCGTTCTAGAGATTAAAACTCATTATTGAACTTAATAGAAGGAAATCAGAGAAATAGAAGCTAAATCTAGGGAAGCTGGTCACGGTGTGCTTTGTTATGCCCCAGCTGTCGTCCTCCCACTGATGTTCCAGAAGCAAGTTAATACTATCGGTGGCCCCGTAGTGCCTGTCTCCCACATGAGTCTCAAAGGAAACAGTGGAGACAAGATAACTGCAATGCTAAGGCACAGTTCTTTATGAGAATCTCAATTTCTACCTCACTAGGCAGTGATTTTTGAAATTGGTGATAAACTCGTCAGTAACATGGAAATAGACACTAGTGTTAATTGCCACCAAGTTATCAACTTTGTACAAATTCCAAGTATCCTTCATGTCCTTAACTTCTGTAATAATGCAAGGAAATACCCAAGTTTTTCTTCTGTGGTGCTACAAACACCTAATTCCTTTTAGAAAGCTGCTAAACACTCATATTTTGCTGATTAGAATCTCAAATCCTATACTTGGGGTCCATGTTGTAATAAAGTCTCATGCTACCATTAACTATACTTTCTTAGATAAGTAGTCCATGAAAGGTAGGTATTCCACTGATCCTTGTGCTATGGCAGGCCATGTTAGATGGTGTACCAGCATATGGGAGTCCATCTATATCTCACCTACATGTTTCTATATATAGGTTGATATCTATCTTTAAGTTTCAATTAAGTTACCAACCTTGTAATAACCACCTTCTGCACCAAGAGGAATCTTGATAGAAATTGTCTTGCCATCACTCTTCAATTCATAGTGCCTAGAAACAATGTCAGCTGTGGACAGTTTGTGAAGACTCACTCCCATCTCTTTAGAGAGGTCCTTGAAGTGGCCAGCCCCATTGAGAAGGGGGCTGATGTTCTTGGGGATGGTCAAAGTAATGGTGTCCGTGGAGTAATACATGCTATCTTAAAGATACATTGTACCCTACTTTTTGTACACGAACATTAGACTTAAGTTAACAGAATTTGGTTGTTGTAGAAAGAAGAAAGGGGCTGAGCGTGGTGGCTCAAGCATGTAATCCCAGTACATAGGGAGGCTGAAGTGGGAGGATTACTTGAGCCCAGGAGTTTGAGATCAGTCTGGACAACAAAGTGAGACCTCATCTCTACAAAAAATAAAAAATAAAAAAAAATTAGCTGGGCGTGGTGGCACAGGCCTGTGGTCCCAGCTACGTGGGAGACTGAGGTAGGAGGATCACTTGAGCCCAGGAGGTTGAGGCTATAGTGAACAATAATTGCATCAATGCACTCTGGCCTGGGTGACAGAGTGAGATCTGGTCTCAAAGAAAAAAAAAAGAATGTGTCAAGCAATGGGGTGTGGACATTGGGAAGGAGGATTATTTGAGAGACAGACTAAAACAACTAGAAAAATGAGGTCCTAACTCATTTATGTGGTTATGACACAATGAGAAAGCTACGATCTGAACTGTTTCCTAGAATAAGTAGGGACATTGACCAGGCCTTGAAGGAAAAACTTAGGAAACTAATGGACTACCAAAAATAGAGTTGGTAAAGTACTTTGTATTTTATTGTGTTAAGGATAGAAAGGGATGGGAAACTCTGACAGATAGGAGTAAGTGCAGCAGAGGTAAGGTGACAGATCAGCCAGCATGGAAGATACATGGAGGGGAAGCATGAGAAGAAGACGGGAGAGGGGAGCCCTAGATTGTGAAAGGCCTCCCATTTAGATTTTTCACCCTATTCACTTGGGTATCTGGGTAGGCATCTGTTTCCTACTTCTGTTGTCTCTGAATTGCCCCTTCCCTGCTGTGCTTGCCAGGGATATAACATGACTGTAGACACTGCCATGGGAGTTTGAAGGGTAGACTTGGCCATAATGGTTGTTTCAAGGATGGTTAGGTGATAGAGGCTGGGCTAGAAAGGGATCCATAGGGTACTTTTGCTTCAACCGTTGGGACTGAAGCATTTGCCCCAAAATCTTTCGCAATAAAGATGGACTCAAACTGTTCTAGGTTTATCTTTGCTACAACAGAGAGGGTCTTTCTGAGAATAAAGATGAAGGAAAAACCAATGTAGCCATGCCTTGTGTCAACTCTAACCCTGGAATTTTCAGTTTTCTAGATGAAGAACTTTTGTTTACCTGATTAGAACTGGGGATCTGTTGATTCCAACTAAGAGCCCTAATGCAGGAATAGTTCTTACCTTGTACAACAAGTTAAAAAGCCAGATATTCTCAAGTAAGTGCTACCAAAATTCAACTCCATGTCTTTTACCCACAGGGCAAGCCATAGCTGTGTCCACCATCAGAATCATCCAGCACTACTTGTAGAAAGTACTTGATCTTACAGCAGTAAAAGTAATACCTTGAATATGACAGGAATCACAAGTGATTGGAATCCTGGCAATTTGTTTTAAAGCTATATTGGTAAGTATAGCTTAACTACTATAGAGATAGACTTTAAAGCCAGCTTGCAGCAGGATCCTCGTGTCAGTCACATTGATTCTGTAGCCAGCCCTGTGGGCATCCTGCACCAGCATCAAACACCACATGACTGGTGCATAAAAGACCGTCTGCCAGATGGAAGCCACCCCTGAAGTCACCTGAGCTAAAAATCACAGGTGTGAGGACACTTGAAACTTCATAGTGAGAACTCCCAAACTCCATCTGACCATGCTTTTTAATGGGACCTCAAGTTCCCATCCTAGTTAAAGGTGAGATTCAGCGGCTCAATGGAAGAATCTCCTGGGCTTTCCTACCACACACTTGCCTCAGAGAAGGCCGCCGCCACCCAGTCCTCTGGCTTGTCCTAGAGCAGGTCCACGGGGATTAATGGAACTTCCTTCTTAACAGAGATCTTTGGGAAGAAGATTTGCTTAACCCTATAAATTTAAAAACACTTTAGGCTCCCTAGTCTTGGTAGATTTGATCTTCTTTTAACTTCAAATCAATGTGGTTATGATCTCATTCCTATACACAGTCAGTTACCTAGAAGCTATCATCTAATAGGTGACTGAGCTTCTGCATCTTCAATGTCATAACTCCTACAAAGAAAGCCAAGGGTAATTCTAGAGTACCTTGAATTCATTTAAGAGGATAGACTGCATAAGATAACTAGCAGAGAGCTGGCATGCAGCTGATACCCAGTAAGAGGTAGCTAGTCTTTCTTGATCCAGTGGAAGCATTGGTGAAGCCAATGAGAGTAGAAAAAAGTGACTCAGAGACAGCTACTCTACATAACTTTTGAGTGCTTACATTAACCCAGGTATTGCCTCTGGTAACTGATTTAAAGGATTTTTAGCTAGTTTTGTGCAGAATTAAGAGAAAACATGAAACTACAATGCATTTACTTCAACTTTATAAATCGTGAGCTGACTTCTGGCTTCTAGAATTTTTTTTACTGGCCAAAATATATAATAACAGTAATTCTCTCTTGTAAGAATGGAGGGTAGTAAAGCCACATGTCCATGCTTTTCTCTGGCACCTGCAGAATATTAGGTTTAAAGATAAGGGCCTGTCCTCTCTGAAAGATATTGCCTTTAATCCTACTTCTACTGCTTTCTGTGTAAGATTTTATTTACTTAGCTCCTAAGCTCAGTTCCCTCATTTGCAAAAAGGGCAAGACACCTCACAGGGCTATTGGGAGATTGGGTTCATGCCTGTGATGTTCTTACAGTGCAGGGCACGTATTAAAGGCTCAGTAGATGGTAGCTCTTATTGATTTCCTCCATTTGCTGGGACTGAGTATCATACTGGCCACATGAGGATAACAGTGTAGAACTCCAGTGCGAAATGAAGAGCTCCAGGAGACAGACAGCCCCATTGCTGAATTTTACACTTAGAAAAACTGTGAAACACTAGAAAAATCTGCTGGTAAATGCATACCTGAATTTCTCCCCACTAGCCCAAGTACCTTGAAGACAAGTCTTACTGACTTTCACAACCTCCCTGAGCACCTCATGCTTGGTCTAACAAGTCATCTACTTGTTGGAAAATTTTAAAGTTCTCTATTACTGACATGGACTAATGTGGTAATAGCTAAAAGGTTGACATGGACATTGATATGGCAACATAACTAGTTTATGGGTCTATGAAGTTAATTGACTCTTTTGGATGGCAAAAGGAAATGGGTGGAAATAGCAAGAGCCACACTAAGCTTGGATCACTTTCCGACACAGAGCACTGTGGTGCCTTCTTTACCGGGCCAGGAGCGAGTCTTCCTCTTACTTCCATGTAGTTTGTCTCACGTGATCTCTCTGGAAAACCATGAGGTATAGGGGCAGCCCACGCTTTTCTGATAAGAAGCAATGTCAGCTCTGGCAGGATCCGTGGCAACATCAAGTTGCACAGTTATGATAAAGTCGACATCTCTCTGCAGGGAAGAGAATTCTGACCTTATCAGAATGGGATACTTGTTTTCCACATGAGGACCTACAGCTCATGTGGAAGTTTCAACTGAACCAAATGTGATGAGCTCTGTGTCACATGGTCTCATTGTATGCAATGCTTTTCCCTCTCCACATGAGAGGCAGCCTGTGAACATAAGCTGCTCAATGCCAGCACCCAAGACAGCACCTGATGCAAAACAAGCACAATTTGAACACATGAAACAAAACAAACCTTACCATATGGCCTTAACCTGCTTATATAAGCTCCAAATTCCACTCTTTCTAGGGACCTCCTTGTGAAGCCACATTTGGGTGTTTTGAAAGTAACTTACTTTGTAGGCCTTAAAACTGATGGGGCCTTTGGGACTTCTGGAAGGGGCCAGCACATCTCAGAAAAATAAATGCAACAAATTAGCTTGGAAATCCTTGGATAGATGCCAAACGTTAGCATTCATACAATAAAACTAACTTCATTTATTCAAACCAAACCACATAGCTCACTTCTCCATGAATACTATTGTGAAGAGAACCACTCCCCCAACAAGTTGGTTGTCCATGCTGTGGTGCACTTATAATAAGTGATACTCATTGCTAAGATGCAGTGCAAGAGAATACAACCTCACTCCTCATGAGCCATGGGATTGGACTTGCTGCAGAGAATCCCTTGGATAGGGGTTTTACTCCAGCCTTAAGAGAGATGTGTTTGTGTTCAGCTCAGCCTTTTTTTCTTTTCCTAAGCGCTTGAGGAAGCCAAGAGTAAGAGTCTTAATATAATCAGTAACCCAGAGAAGATCCAAAACTCCAAGCTTATCACTTCTTTTAAGGCAGACTGTGTACCAACTGTTAAAGCAAACTAAATATGGCCTGTGAAAGACTGTGTACTTCTTTTTTTTTTGAGCTGGACTCTCGCTCTCTCACAAAGGCTGGAGTGCAGTGGTTCAATCTTGGCTCACTGCAACCTCCGGCTCCTGGGTTCAAGTGATTCTCCTGCCTCAGCCTCCTGAATAGCTGGGATTACAGGTGCACGCCACCATGCCCGGCTAATTTTTGTATTTTTAGTAGAGATGGGGTTTCACCATGTTGGTCAGGCTGGTCTTGAACTCCTGACTTCGTGATCTGCCTGACTTGGCCTCCCAAAGTGTTGGGATTACAGGCCTGAGCCACCGAGCCCAGACAGGACTGTGCACTTCTATATTTGTGTCCTTGTGGAAGAACTGCAACCTAACTTAATAGGTAGACAAGATTGAAAACCTAACTTGGGAGCATGTGTCTGTAACAGTGACTGTGTCTTGGCCAGTCCCAGCAGCCATACTTCAACCACTCATACATACACTCTTGTGTTCAAACTGTGTTCAAATAAAGCAAACACTGGGCTGTAACCCATCCAAGTTGTTTCTGTGCCTCATTTCTGATTTCTGTATGTCACTTCCTTTTTTGTCTACAAATCTTCTTCCACTACATGGCTGCACTGGAGTTCCTCTGAATCTGCTGTGATTCTGGGTGCTGCCCAATTCGCAAATTTTTCATTGTTCAATTAAACTTTTTCAAATTTGATTTGGCTGAAGTTTTTCTTTTAACACAACCAAACAAGTCCTATTCAGAGGGCATGGGACACTCACCTGTATATAGGTGTAGCAGCTGAGGAGAGATGCCTGGAGCCTACGTTTCCCCAGTGGTCAGAGAGGTTGGTGTAGCCACTCTGGGCAGCCAGGGCCTCATCTGTCTTTCTTCCTGAGCCAAACTGATCTGAAAGAGCCCCAGACAGCTTCTTACCAAATGCCCTTCTTCCTGTTTAGCCTCCAGGTGCTAATCCACCAGCCCCTACTTTATAGAGGAGAAAAAATACTTTAAGTTCACACAGCTGAGAAGAGCTGCAGCCAGGGTGCAAACCCAGGCAACTGACCCAGAGCCTGCATGCTCAACCCCTTTTTTGGGGTTTCAGGTTATTTTTAATAAAAGCAGAAATTTTGGTGCCCATCTTATTGACCCATGCCCCTAAGCCTCCAGGAAGTGCCTGGCACCCCAAAGGTGCTCAACTGGTGTCTGTTAAAAAATAAGTTACTATAATACTATGTGGCAGGGGCTATGCTGGGCACTTGACAACTATCATTTCATCCATGCATCTCACTGCCCTCTGCAAAAATACATGGCATTGTCCCCAACTTATGGGAAAACAGAGGGTCAGAAAGGCTAAGTGCGCTTCAGGGGCACACAGCTATTGAGGAACAGAGATGATATGGTGTTAAGCCTAAGTCCAAAGCTCTCTCCATAATCATTTGTGGTTTCTAGAAAATGCATGGTGACTTATTGAAGAATTAGCCACCCAAACAGCTGTTTCTTCATGGTAGTCAATTCTTTAGATACATACATCCACCAAAATGTGAAATTCACCAATTATGCCATCGCCAGAGTTCTAGGTCCCAGCAAAATACTCTTCAGATGGCACATGGGGCTGTGTTAATGCTATGAAAGCTAGAAGCTACCAAAGATTTATGGGAAACATGAGGCCCTTTGGAGCTCTCCCTACACAAGATGGAATCCTTGGAAGTGACCCAGACTAAGAAGAGATCATGTGACCACAACACCCCATGAGAACTGAGAGCAGTTTAAGACTGTACCTGCAAAATCTGTGGTACTCACCAACTACATGAAAGTCAAGATACTTGTCTCTGACATGGGCAAAGACATACTTGTCTCCCCAGGCTCATTTGCATGAGGCTCCCCACACTTTCAAGGATAATGAAGTCTGCATCTGTGTGTGCAGAAGCAAACAGAAGGAGGCAGTGAGCCTCTGGGTGCCACTTTTCCTAGCTCCTCCTTGCCAGGTGGACAAGAAAAAGCTTATCACCAACCTGCATCAGGGGCCCATGTCTGAAAGCCAAAAGCTCCTACAATAATTAATCTGATAAAAGAGCAAACTGTACTGTCAAGACTCTACAGGGATACCTTTTTCCTTCCTGCTTTGAGAGGTATAAGAAGTTCACCAAACATTCAGAAAGAGAGAGAGACAGGAGAAAGAGAGAGAGGTGGCTGCGCACAGATACAGAGACAGGGAGAAAGACAGGGAGGCAGGTGAACAGAGATACGGACAGAGACGCTGACTAATTCCCTGACCTCTATTGCCTAAAATGCCAGAATCCTTGAGGCCCTGTGGTCTGCTCAGCTCCAGGCCTACAGTAAGAGCCACACAGAATTACTTACCTCACAGTACGATGCGGAGCCATGGCACAGCAAGACACTTCTCTGCCTTTTATCTCTGCAGAGAAGCTCTGCTTTCTGCTTGGCCTAGCGGCATGGAACTGGCCTCAATAGGATTTGTGATCCTCAGGAGAATCTATTACAGCTGCTTCTCCTTCACC
Source organism: Homo sapiens (assembly GCF_000001405.40). NCBI lineage: Eukaryota > Metazoa > Chordata > Mammalia > Primates > Hominidae > Homo > Homo sapiens. The sequence goes on from NC_000002.12 coordinate 17,849,434, forward strand.
CAGAAGCAAAGCAGGATCCAGGACACAGCTGCCCTGCAAGGAGGTCCTGGCCATCTGCTGATTACTTCTGAACGCTTCCCTTTCCAGCCCACTCAGAATGTTCCATAACATTCGAGTAGAGTCCCAAAGAGAGTTGCCTGGTGCAAATACAGGCTGCCCACTTCAATTTGAATTTCAGATAATACTTGGAGTATTGCAATCTTTGGAATATATGCAATAGTTGGAACATACACACTAAAAAATACCCATTGTTTATCTGGAATTCAAATTGAATTGACATCTTGTATTTTTATTTGTTCAGTTTGGCAACTCTACTGGTTTTGCTAAGCAGAAAAGAAAAACTTACGATGAGTAAGAATATATGTATACATACATATATGTATATATTTCCAATTAGAATATGTTTTTTGACCACTTTTTATCAGCTGTGCAAATTAAATGGTAACAGGAAAAGGCCTGTAAAATGTTCAGCCAAGACTAAAAATCAGCTAGGGAGTGAGTAAACCTGAATGTATGTGTGTACATTAAATCATCTCTCTCTTACTAGAATGGGAATTTTTCCATTGCAGGAATATGTTATTTATTTAAAAACTTTTAAAGAGGACCTGCTATTTACAAAGGACTGTAAATACAACTAGTGTTGTATGAGTGAATAAAACAGTGAATGCCTTGCCTGTTTGGGGTCCGCAAATCGGTGTCTTACACACCCGGTAACTCCAGCCCCCAGTCCCAGCATGAGAGGCATTCAGGAAATTCATGCTGATTGGAACTCTGTCTGTTTATTTACTTATTTATTTATTTATTTATTTATTCTCAGCCACCAATCCTGGTTGGGTAACCTGTGCTCAGAGAAGGCTCATGAAGCAGCTTATGGCTGATGGGCACTTAGCACAGCCCTGACAAGGATGAGGAAGGAGCAGCTGGCTCCATGATTAATGTGTCACAGAGTCTGGTTTTTCATTTGCTGCCAGTGATGGGCCAAACGCTGGAAGGTTTTCTTCCTCCATTTCACGTACCAGAGGCTCTCTTAAGGAGCCACCACGAACATTGCAGAGCGGCCTGTGTCTGTAGCCTGCTGAGTGCTCTCCTCTTTGGGCTGGGCTTCTGTGTTGGCCTGGACGATCTCCGAGGGCCATGCTAGCCTGGGTGCTCCATGCTTTTTTTGTTAAAGAAATCTTCCTCCTACAAGGGCTGTGGTCGCTGAGCTGCAGCTTTTGCAGAGGCCTGGGAGGGTCTGGCTGGAGCCAGGGTTGGTGACTACAGGAGGCACAGAGGGGTATCTCCTCTCAGCTTGGGACTTCCTGGCAACACAGCATCATATCTCTTGTTACAGGTGCTAAAGTACAACTGCGGGGAGAATTTCCAGGATCTAGAACATCCTTCACCAACTGGGGCCCCAGGAGTGATTTCTTAGAGGGCAATGTGAGTGCCTATCTGGAGACAACTGGGGGTGAGCTGGAGCCATTCTGGCTGAATGTGTAAAATTGATCAAAAATAACTTTGGAAACTGTCCCAACTGATGTCAGTTGATGACACCATTTCCAGGGGTGGGAGGGAGCTCTATCTTGTAGGTCTAGTATCTCAGAGATAACGGCTTTGGGGTCATCAAAGACTGTGCTTAATTCTTGGTCTTAACACCATTAGCTGTGTGACCTTGGAAAGTCATTTCATTCTTCTGAACTGAGGTTATTTATCTGTAAAGTAGCAAGTTTCTTTCTTTTTTTTTTTTTTGAAACAGGGTCTCACTCTGTCACCCAGGCTGGAGTGCAGTGGCGCTATCGTGGCTCACTGCAGCCTCGAACTCCTAGGCTCAGGTGATCTTCCCTCCTCAGCCTTCTGGGTAGCTGGGACTACAGGCATATGCCACCACACCTGGCTAATTTTTTGGATTTTGTGTAGAGACAGGGGTCTCACTGTGTTACCCAGGCTGGTCTTGAACTCCTGGGCTCAAGCGATCCGCTTGCCTCAGCCTCCCAAAGTGCTCGGATTACAGGTGTGAGCCACTGTGCCTGGCCTAGCAGGTTTCTACGTCACAAGTTTCTCATGTAAAAAGCATCTGGCAAATTTGGGGCACACACTGAAGAGGGCATGGAGGAAACTCCCTGCTCTCCTCCCACCTCCAACTCCTACCTGGAAGAATAAAGATTCCCTAAAAATTGTGTGTGCATGTGAGAGGGAGAGGAGAAAGAGAAACTATTGAGTATAAAATAAGTGACCGTTCCTCAGTATTCCAGCAATGATTTCACTGTTTTGTGCAACATTTACTTTATATTTTAAAAATGGCTGAGTGGCAAAATTGAGTTGTCTTGGGCAATTAAGTGAACAAAGAGGGATGTAGACTCACATACTTACCGTGCTCATGAAAAGCCTCCTGGAAGTAAATGCAACAGCATGGTAACAGGATTATTTCTGCATGTGGGATTATGAGTCATTTTAATTTTCAGACACTGCGATTTTGTGCAGATGCAATAGCAGAAGATGCCCACACAGGGGAGCCTGTTGCCCTCTAATGGCTTTTGGGAGGCGCTCAGGAATCCACTGGTGCCCAGCTTCGGCGCTCAGGGGATCCTGTTTTAGTCCCAGTCCCTGAAAAGGCCCCCTACTGAAATAAAACCTGCCCTAAGCCCTCCTTGATAACATTAGCTGGTCCTATTTGCAGAAGGCAAATGATATTCTCAGGCCTGAAGGAGGTCACATTTTCCTCCACTTAGCAGTGTGGCTCAGTGGCAGGGACAAGGCCCATCTCACCTGCTTTATTGGGTTAGCTATTGGGTTGAGTGGGGCTTTTCCTTTGCCCAGTAGGGATCACTAGGGACATGCATAAGCGAAAGGGCAGAATGGCTCAGCAGAGGAAAGGTGCCCACCACAAGCCCAGGAGTAGGAGGCTCCAGGAGATGAACACAGGACATTGCAGGAAGGTGAGTGTGTGGTTCCCTGCGTGGACACCTGCCCAGCATGGGTCTTGCAGACCTGCCCCAGCCAACCCCAGCAAGCAAGAGGACTGGGAGGGAAGGCAGGGGGGAGGAAGGCAGTGACGCTGCTCTGCTCCTACCCTTTGGTGTGGCCAGAATAGTGACTTTCCCCGGGCCCTGCTGGATCCCTCAGGAGTGCAGGTTTGCCCTTAAGAAAGCCTCTGTAAGGGGAGACCACTGAGAGCAAGAGAAAGTGGGAGACAGAGAATCTCCAAGCTCAGTGGAAGGCAGGGAGAAGGCGCTGTCAGGTCTCCGAGGTGAGTCCCAGCATGAGCTTGTTCCCCTCATGTCACCAACAAAAGCAAGCCCAGCATACACCTGCCATGCAATGACATTGAGGGCCATTTGTGGAAACTAGAGAAGGCGCGAGTGCTAACAGAAGACCACAGCAGTAGCTGATACAGTTAAAACAAAGAAGCAGCCCCCAAATAACACATACCCACCCCCACATACCATAAAAGGCTTGTTCCTCTCTGTCCCTTCTTCCTGCCTCAATATCCTGGAGGTCTTCACCCTAAAGAAGGAAAGGGCAGGGGGCTGGGGAAGAACAAGTCCCCTCCACAGCAATGTGCAGCAAGGGGAGGCCTAGACCACATCTGTCCCCCACTCCAGGTCCCCTCAGCTACAGACCACACCTGTCCCCCACTCCACGTCCCCTCAGCCACAGACCACACCTGTCCCCCACTCCAGGTCCCCTCAGCCACAGACCACACCTGTCCCCCACTCCAGGTCCCCTCAGCCACAGACCACACCTGTCCCCCACTCCACGTCCCCTCAGCCACAGACCACACCTGTCCCCCACTCCACGTCCCCTCAGCCACAGACCATACCTGTCCTCCACTCCAGGTCCCATCAGTCACAGACCACACCTGTCCCCCACTCCAGGTCCCCTCAGCCACAGACCACACCTGTCCCCCACTCCAGGTCCCATCAGTCACAGACCACACCTGTCCCCCACTGCAGGTCCCCTCAGCCACAGACCACACCTGTCCCCCACTCCAGGTCCCATCAGTCACAGACCACACCTGTCCCCCAATCCAGGTCCCCTCAGCCACAGACCACACCTGTACCCCAATCCAGGTCCCATCAGTCGCAGACCACACCTGTCCCCCACTCCAGGTTTCCTCAGGCACAGACCACACCCATGCCCTACTCTAGGTTTCCTCAGACACAGACCATACCTGTGTTTCACTCCAAGTCTTCTCGGCCACAGACCACACCTGTCCTCCTCTCCAGGTCCCCTTGGCCACACACCACCCCTGTCCCCCATGCTAGGTTTCTTTAGCCACAGACCAGCAAGTGACGGGGCAAGTGACAGTTGTGGACCGCTGGGAGATCACTGTCAACATAAAATTTTATTTTAAACCAAACTGGACTTTTAACAACCAAAACGACCTGAAAGGTTGTTTAATCTGCTCAGTGTATCACTAAGGAACAAAAAAAGCCATTTCACAGTCAGTGAAGTCAGTGATTGGAAAAACAATCCTGTTCCTAGTTTATTCTTAGATTAAGACTGATTAACAAGCCCCTCTGGATCTCAATTTTCTCCTCTTTAGTAAGCAAGCAGTGCTGGTCAGCGCTCCTCCAACAGGGGCAGACTGCTGAGGGGAGGGGAGGCGGAGGGTTGCAAGGACCTGGCTCAGAGCAGTCAGAGGTGAGGGCTACCAGGCTGAGCCAGGCCCCTATCCCCGTTTCTGTTTTTTTTTCTTTTTTTAAGGTAATTTCAACTTTTATTATGTTTTTGGTTTTTTTTCCCGCTTTATTTTAGTTTCAAGGGTGCATATGTAGGTTTGTTACATGGGTAAATTGCGCATTGCTGAGGATTGGAGTACAAATGATCCCATCATTGAGGTAGTGAGAAGACCACCCGATAGGTAGTTTTTCAAGCCTTGCTCCCTTCCCACGATTCCTCCTCTAGTAGCCTCCAGTGTCCACTGTTGCCATCTTTATGTCCATGTGTGCTCAGTGTTTAGCTCCCACTTATAAGTGAGATCATGCAGTGTTTGATTTTCTCTGTGTTAATTCACTTAAGGATAATGACCTCTAGCTACATCTGTGTTGCTGCAAAGGACATGATTTTGTTCTTTTTTTATGGATATGTAGTATTCCATGGTATATATGTACCACATTTTCCTTATCCAATCCACCACTGATGGGCACTTAGGTTGATTCCACGTCTCTGCTATTGTGAATAGTGCTGCCATGAATATATGCATGCATGTGTCTTTTTGGAAATTGATTCATTTTCCTTTGGGTATATATCCAGTAATGAGATTTCTGGGTTGAATGGCAGTTCTGTTTTAAGTTCCTTAAAAAATCTCCAAACTGCTTTCCACAGTGGCTGGACTATCTCACATTCCCACCAACGGTGTATAAGCATTCCCCTTTTCTCTGCAACCTTGTCAACATCTTGTTTTTTGACTTTTTGATGATAATCATTCTGACTGGTGTGAGATGGTATCTCATTGCAGTTTTGATTTGTATTTCTCTAATTATTAGTGATATTGGGCACTTTTTCATATATTTCTTGGCCGCATGTATGTGTTCTTTTTAGAAGTGTCTGTTCATGTCTTTTGACCGCTTTTCAAAATGGGGTTGTTGTTTGCTTGCTGAATTAAGTTCCTGATAGATTTTGGGTATTAGACCTTTGTCAGATGCATAGTTTGTATTTTCTCCCATTCTTAGGTTGTCTGTTTACTTTGTTGATAGATTCTTTTGCTGTGCAGAAGCTCCTTAGTCTAACTAGGTCCCATTTGTCAATTTTTGTTTTTGTTGCAATTGCTTTTGAGGACCTAGTCATAAATTATTTCCTAAGGTTGATATCTAGATTGGTGTTTCCTAAGTTTTCTTCTGGGATTCTTAAAGTTTGGGGTTTTACTAAACAATTATTTTAGATTCAGAGATACGTGTGCAGGTCTGTTATATGGGTATATTGTGTGATGCTGAGGTTTGGGATGCAAATGATTTCATCACCCAGGTAGTGAGCATAGTACCCAATAGTTAGTTTGTCAACTATTGTCTCCCTCTTTTCTTCTCCCCTCTAGTTGTCGCCAGTGTCTATTGTTCTCATTTATATGTCCCCAAGTACCAATGTTTAGCTTCCATTTATAAGTGAAAACTTATGATATTTGTTTTTCGTTCTTGGAGTAACTCGCTTAGGATAATGGCTGCCAGTTGCATCCTTGTGGCTCTAAAGGACATGATTTCATTCTTCTTTATGGCATGAGGCCCTGCTATCTTAGTGTCCTGCTCTTCCTTACTCCTCCAGCATTGAGGAGCACTTGAAGCCATAATGTTTCAGTGTTGTTGATCTGGGCTTTGAGGGATCAGAAGAGGTAGTTCCTCAGTTAACCAGAGAAGAAACAGGATGCAGGTCATGGAAGAATAAGGTTTCCGTGGTCTTAGAGTGAGAGTTGGCCAAACTTCCATAAAAAACAGAAAGTAAAAATTTCAGGCTTTGTGGGCCACGCAGTCTTTGTTGCAAATACCGTACTCTGCCAGTGTGGCTGATAAGGCAGACATAGATAATATGCACATGGAAGGGTGTGGCCATGTTTCAAGTAAAGCTTTATTTAATGACAGTAACATTGGAATTCAATATAATTTTTATATGTTATGAAGTAATACATAATTTTTATTTCAATAGTTTTTGGGGAACAGGTAGCTTTTGGTTTCATGGTGATATGGTTTGGCTGTATCCCCACCCAAATCTCATCTTGAATTATATTACTTTTGCACCAACTTAATAGTTCCCATAATCCCTACGTGTGGTGGGAGGGACACAGTGGGAGGTAATTCAATCATGGGGCTGGTTACCCTCATGCTGTTCTCATGATAGTGAGTAAGTTCTCACGAGATCTCATGGTTTTATAAGGGGCTTTTCTCTCTTTTGCTCAGCACTTCTTGCTGCTGCCATGTGAAGAAGGACATGTTTGCCTCCCTTTCTGCCATGATTGTAAGTTTCCTGGGGCCTCTCCAGCCCTGCAAAATTGTGAGTCAATTAAACCTCTTTCCTTTATAAATTATCCAGTCTTGGGTATGTCCTTATAACACCATGAGAATGGACTAACATACATGGATAAGTTCTTTAGCAGTAATTTCAGAGATTTTGGTGCACCTGTCAACCAAACAGTGTACACTGTACCCAGTGTGTAGTCTTTTATCCCTCACCTCCCTCCTGCCCTTCCCCTCAAGCCCCAAAGTCCATTATATCCTTCTTACGCCTTTGCATCTCCATAGTTTAGCTCCCACTTATAAGTGAGAACATACAATATTTGGTTTTCCATTCCTGAGTTGCTTCACTTAGAATAATGGTCTCTAACTCTATCTAGGTTGCTGTGAGTGACATTATTTCATTCCTTTTTATGGCTGAGTAGTATTCCATGGTGTATATATACCACATTTTCTTTATGCATTCGTTGGTTGATTGACATTTAGGCTGGTTCCATATTTCTGCAGTTGTGAATTGTGCTGCTATAAATGTGTGTGCAAGTGTTTTTTCATATAATGACGGTTATAAAGCAATATTCTTTAGATTTTTTCAACCTTTCTTAGCTTGTGGCTGTGGCTTATAAACTCCTGTTCTTGATTGTTTCCTAGATTATGTTCTAGATTATGTTGATCAATAAATATAGCCTTGGGTGCTCCCTGCAAACAGTTTATCTTAAAGACCATGCATGTGGGAAAGCAGACTGCAGAGGATGTTCTAGCTCACTGCAGACTCAAATGCCAAAATCCATGGGCTTTCCTGCTGCACATCCCCCACCTAGGCAGGCCAGCTCAGCTTTGTTCCTCCTCTTCTCTCTTGGTTATGAAATTCGCAGAGGAAAGTGACTGTCAGTCTCAGTGATGACTAACGTGGTGTCCTGCAGAGTATGTGTGTGTAGAATTCACGGAGGAGGTTTTGCATGTTGGAGGAGAGAGCTCATCTCCTCCAAATGTCTCTTTCCCCAGGAGAAGGAGGGAGCTCCAAGAGGAAAGCAATTAACCCAAGACCATGCAGCAGCTCAGTGGCCAGGCAAGGGGTAGGGTGTAATTATGTGTGTATTCAGAATGTGCGTGTTTAAGAGCCATTTGTGGTTCAACACCTTAGGTGCTGCAGGGAGACAGATGGAAGGGCTTTCTGAGGACACATCACTCAGTGTAAACACAGACTCTTTTCCTTCTGTCCTCCGTTTTTCCCCTCCCCCCTCCCTCCCTCCCTCTCTTCCTTCCCTCCCTCCTTTCTTTCTCTTTCTCTTTTTCTTTCTTTTCTTTTCCTTCTTTCCTTCTTTCTTCCTTTCCTTTCCTTTTCCTTCCTTCCTTCCTTCTTTTCTTTCTTTCTCTTTCTCTTTCTTTCTTTTCCTCCTTCCTTCCTTCCATCCTTTCTTCTTTCCTTCTTTTCTTTTCTTTTCTTTTCTTTTCTTAGGTTCTCACTCTGTTGTCTAGACTGGAGTGCAGTGGCAGAATCATGGCTCACTACAACCTAGACCCCCTGTGCTCAAGAGATCCTCCCACCTCAGCCTCTCAGGTAGCTGGGACCACAGGCACTCACCACCACATCCAGCTAATTTTTTATTTTTTGTAAAGATAGGATTTCCCTACGTTGCCCAGACTGGTCTTGAACTCCTGGGCTCAAGCAATCCTCCTGACTTAGCCTCCCAAAGTGTTAGGATTACAGGTGTGAGCCACTGTGCCTGGCACAGACTATTTCTTATAATCACTATCCTCAATTGGCATACAACCAACTCCTCCCTCCCACTTCTTGGGGAGATTTCATAGGTTTTGGTTTGTTTATTTATTAAAATCATTTGAGTCTAGTTTAAAATGCCAACCTCATATGTCATTCAAAACCGTTCTTGCTTATCCTAAGCCATTTCCATGCTCCAAGGGCTTGGAGAGACCACTGGAGCATGGTCTGCTTTTCTTCCTTCTTTTTTCTCCTCCCCTGCCTCCTCCCTTAGTCAGCTGTCACTCCAGTAATGGGTGGGAGCACAGGTGGGGGCAGAGAGGCAGTGGTGTTCTGGTAAATGGTTGACAACAGGTTCTCTGGAAAAATGCCCTAATTTGTAGTGTTTACAGGTTTCTGTGGGGTAAATGTCCCATCACAGCTGATTTCAAGCTCCCAGCGTGGTGTTACTGAACATGGAATTGGGAACAGATATGCATAACACACTCTTACAGGTTGGTATGAGTTGGTGTGTGCTGGTGTGAACTCACTGCTGGATGAGGGACAAAAGGTCAGTCTCTAGCTAAGTCAGCACAGGTAATCCTCTCTCTGCTGATTGTCACTGCTACTCTGGCTGATGGGGATGCATTTTTTTTCTTTCATGTCTTTTTCTTTAAAAACAGTTTCAACTTTTATTTTAGATTCAGGGGAGTATGTGCAGATTTGTTACTTTGGTATATTGTGTGATGCTTAGGTTTGGGGTACAATTGATCCTATCACCCAGGTACTGAGCATAGTACTCAATACTTAGTTTGCAACACTTCCACCCACTACCTCCTCTAGTAGCCCCTATAGTTTATTGCCTTCTTTATGTCCATGAATACACAATGTTTAGCTACCACTTATAAGTGAGAATATGTGGAATTTTATTTTCTGTTCTTTTGTTAATTCACTTAGGATAATGGCCTCTAGCTGCATCCATATTGCTGCAAAGGACATGATTTTGTTCTTTCTTATGGGTGTATAGTAATTCTATGGTATATATGTACCACATTTTCTTTAAATAATGGGCTCTTGATGTTCTCTGTGGGCTAGCTCCTTAGTGGGCTTCCAGGGCCTCCCTTTTTGTGAAGGATAAAGCAACTCCATCTTGGATGCTAACCTGCCATGTTGACTTCCGATTAATCCCAGTTCTGGGGATGCCTCTAAGATTTCTATTTTATCTACTGTTACTGTAAATCCTGCCTTTAGACAGATTCCATAGCATTCTTGCCTTTCCCTGAGGGGTCCACTACAATTGTCCTACACATTCCTTCCTTATGGTACGGAAGCCCTGGGTCTAAAAGATAATGGTGCAGGGATCCACCATCCCATCTTGCCATCCCATCTCGTGGCACCTGGTACATGGCTTCTGTTCATAAATCCTTAATAAAGATTTCTTTCTGAGAAACTGGATTTGTCAGCCTCTTTCTTTGGCCTTTGGTGGAGTGTTTGCACAGACCTGCTCACCGTAGAACACCCCTGCTTAGTCTCTGCATTTGGGAGACCCAACTCTTCCACTTCCCCTCAGTTCCTGCCACCAGTGCCCAGGCAGGGCCTCTTGTTGGTAGGGTCCTTGTGCCAGATGGGCAGTCCTCCCATGTGAGGTGCCTGCAAGGTGGCCCAACCTGAGCTATGTCCCGTGGCGTCTACTTGACCTATGGGGAGTCACACACCCCTGACAACAAATCACAGGATCACAGGCAGCTCAGCCCCGCTATGGTCTGAATGTTTGTGTGTCCCTCCAAAATTCATCTGTTGAAATCCTAACCCCCTGTATGATACCAGACACTTGGCGGGGTGGTTGGCCAGGCACGGTGGCTCACGCCTGTAATTCCAGCACTTTTCAAGGCCGAGGCAGGCAGATCACTTGAAGTCAGGAGTTTGAGACCAGCCTGGCCAACATGGTGAAACTCTGTTTCTACTAAAAATAAAAAAAATTAGCCAGGGGTGGTGGTGGGCACCTGTAATCGCAGCTACTCAGAAGGCTGAGGCAGGAGAATCGCTTGGACCTGGGAGGCGGAGGTTGCAGTGAGCCAAGATCATGCCACTGCACTCCAGCCTGGGCTACAGAGTGAGACTCCATTTAAAAAAAAAAAAAAAAGAAAAAAGTTAGTTATTATTACAAAGGCTTCTTTCAGTTATCCTAACTTAACATGTGCCTGACCTGACCCAAAGAGAAGGTATCCAAAAAAAGGGAACTCAGGAAGAAGGAAGTCAATCATCTTGCTCGTTAAAAATATGTGTTTCCTTACTTCACCAAGAGCACACCAAGGATAGAAACTGTACTGAATCTAGCTTGTATTCCCGTTTCCTCCCTCTCTTCCCCTCTATCCTGCCGCTTGGATTTATTGAAAGCATTTTTTTTTCTACTGAATTGGACTGCCCCACCTTTCCAGAGCTAAGAGTATACATTACAGAAGCTTCTTAGTAATTGTTGAAATGCAGGCAGTATCCTGCCATCCCTGAATCAAAGCATTCCATAGAACTGAGCTAAGGAAGGTCTCATTGTAGCATCTTAGCTCTGAGCAGAATGGTGCCCAGGAGTCTGAGAAGTAAGGGGCTCACCTGGAGAGGGTTCTGTGTCTGAGCACTGGCACCTTGTTGAGAATGAACTTTTCAATCAGAAGCCTGAAACTTTTTGCTTTCCTGCATGAATTTATCAGGTCGTTACCTGCATGGAATCGCCTGTAGGGGAAAGTGACCTAGGCAGAGAATTTTATAAATGTGTGTCTTCCAACATGGGCTTTTTTGAGAAAGTTGGATTTCTTCAGGGGAGAGCAGAGATCATTAGCAATGTGACAGAATTGGTGGGAGGACATGAGTAGCCAATAGAATCAGTGGTCATGTAGGGAGCCTAGACAGGTTCCAGGACAGCAGTATTGGATGCTACAGGTTACCTGAGGCTGTGGATTTGTGTACATATGTGGGGGTGGGGTGCGGCAGGGGGCATGCAGGAGAAGCACAAGTAAGAGACAGGTTGCCAGGTTTAGAAATATATATATATATCTGCTTGTGTGTATACATATGGTACACAGTCAGAATTTTTTTGTATAAATGTGTCCAATGCAACATTTGTAAGATCTTTTGAAAAAATAGTTCTGTCAAAGCAATGATTTAGGGAGCATATTAAGTAAATGACATGTGTGAGTTTTAAAATTCATAAGTATTCCCACTTGTATTGAGATAAAAAAATCAGAAAAAATTAAAATATGTGTGAATTATGGGACACTAATTAAATGAATTAACAGTGGTCCCAGATTTGGAATACCTTAATCTGTTTAGTAGTTGGCCAGTGGTTTTCAGATTTGATTTTAGTTGTGAGTGTTACTACATAAATCCATGGCTGAGGAAGAAAATAAAGAAACAGGCTTAATTTTTTCAGGATGATGATGATGATGATGACTTTTATCATTTTGGTCCTCTCCAACATGCCAGCCTTTTTCCAGCTGCTGGTTGAGAGAATGCTTGGGAATATGAATGGTTTGGTGGTGCCTGTACATTTTATTTTCTATAGAAGGAATTGGAGGGCTATTAGACATGATTCTCTGAGTGCTAGTCTGCCCCAAGAAGATAGGAATATCACTTCCCTGACAAGTGAGAATTCTCTGGCATCTCTGAGAAATAAGTGGCAGACACTTTTCCCACCAGGAGTAAGTCCTGATCTAGAAAGGTTTCCTCCCTTGAGTGAATGAGGATCACCAATCAAGAGAGGTGGATAAATTGGGAGAGGTGTTTAGAGGATAATTTGGACAGTTAGAAAACTAGGATTACAAGTTTCTCACCAGGTAACAGACTGTCAGGTGCATGCAGGGCTGAGATGGATGGATGAATGGGTGGACGGATGCATGGATGGATGAATGAATGGATGAAGAAATGAATGGATAGGTGGATGGAAGGATAGACGGATGGATGGATGGATGGGTGAAGGGAAGGATGGATAGATGGATGGATGGATGGATGGGAATATTAGTCTCTGAACTTGCTCTAGAGAGAGATAAACTGAGGCCTGTGAAAAGCAGTCTGAACTCTGATGAAATGGCTAGACGAGGGTTCCACATCAGTGTTTGCTGACCTTAATGAGCCTTTCATATGATGTACTAACACCTGTTTCAAAGGCTTGGCGGTGGTGTTCTCTCAGGAGAAAAGAGGAAAAACATTTGTAGTAATTGTGGAATTTGTAGGATCCATCTAAAGGCAAGGTCCAATATCCTATTTATAATGTGGAACTATAAGCAATAAAGGTGTAGGTGATGTGCCCCGGGTTCCAGCTCTAGTAAACATTAGTTTTAACATTACCATTAATCAGTGTAAAGGTACAGAGATGTGGGTCTTCTGTCCTAGTTCCACCCTCAGACCATTGGCATGAGCAAAAAAATGAGAGACCATGGGTCTGCAATGAGAGGCCATGGGTCATCTGGAATGACCAAGGATCTGGTCTCCTAAAGAAGCTGGTGTGGCTGATGGCCTGGGGAGATCATTGAGGCAGGAGGCTGACTCACAGAACTCACAAATAATGTCATTCAAATCTTCCCAAGATAGGGAAGAAAGAATGCTTGGCAAAGAGCTCATAAGATTCAGAAGTGCAGACAGCAGTGGAGGGAAAGAAACGGGCCTTTCTGGTGGCAAATTTGATTACATTTCCGGTTGCAAGTAACTGAAAAATGACCGACAAATTTAAGCAAAGGGTAATTTCTTGGGAATTCACAGAGTTCATGAGAGTTGAGAAGATCATAATTGGGAATTGTCAAGAATCAAATGCAGTCTGGATGGTTAAGAAGCAAAAAGCAGAAACATTGCCAATTGATCAAACCTGCTGCTACAGGCACTGCCACCACCACTCTGACAAACCATGCCCACCATGTGCCCCAGGTTTGCATCATCTGTTTTTATACAAAGCCATGGGAGGGAATGGCTAATTGGCCAAATGTGGATCTCAGGTTCTAGGAGGTTAAATTGCTCCCTTTTCCTGAGAAAAAGTAATGACTTGCCATTCTTCAAGACCCATCCATCTTTTGCTCTGATCAATCTTTTAAATTCAATGAATATGGACAGTAATTACTAGCCTTACATAAAGCCTGGACACAATACTGAGGGGAAAGGAGTTGACAAGAAACCTTGCCCATTCCAGTTTGGATTCTGGATGTAATAATTTTTTTCTACTCTCACGGTCAGGTTTGGGGTTTGTATTTATACTAGTTCTTATGGTCCACAGAACTACCAAGCCAAGATATTAGCTTAAACTTGATCTCTAGATGGTAACACATATGAGAAAATGAAAACCTTCTAGTACAACATATTCTGAAACCATGCTTTATGGACATCTTGGCTGTGTGGGTTGAAGTGTCCTTCAGGATGAGTGTGGGGCTCCCTGTGGCTATTGGAAGGAACCAGATGGAAAAGCAAGAGTGTTGGTTCAAGGGCTGGGGACCTTTATCTGAGCTCTGGTTATGGCCCCACAAATGTTTGGAATAGAGCTGAATCTATGGGTTGCTTTACAAATCAGCTTTTGCTAATTACAGATCTGGTCAATTGGCCTAACTAACCACTTGGTGAAAATTTCTCACTGACTGTCAGCTTCTCAAGGCAGGGACTGTGTGTGGTTAATACGTAGTGAGACAATGTTTTAAAATATTAACCAGAGTGCTTCCCCTTCCACGATTTTTGTACATAATCTTCTATTTAGTCAGAGGCATACTGTTGCTTCAGGGAGGATTACCGTTGAATCCGCAAAAAGAAAGAAATGTTAGAGTTTCACTTTGGACTTGCAAAATAGGCTCTTGAAGCCCAAAACAATGACTTTGAGAGAAAAGGATTAATTATTGAAGTTCAAGAGTCAAATCCTGGCACAAACGACAGACGGAAAAGACAATAGTTGAAGAACCAGTTTTCTACACAGAGCTCGCCATGAGATGGTGGGAAATCCTTTGGGATTTAGCCTTGAGAGAGTTGGTAGAGGCCCTATGAAGGGGAGAAAGCTGGAAATCCCAGGCACATTTGGAAAAATCCCATGGCAAAGGATACCAATGCCACTTTCACAAGCAATATCTGCTTCCAGCATGGCGATGGAACCAGAGTAGTGACAGCTGAGTGAGCTATCTGGAATTGAGAGGCCAAGTGCCTTACAGGTGCCTTGAGTGAAAGGAAAGGGGCTGAGTTTCTGAACCCTGCAAAGGTACTTTGGAAATGCTGTAAGTGATGGACCAGAAGCACTGGGGTCAGGGCCATGAGGGAACAGAATGCATTCAACAAGCAACTGAGGGACCAGTGAGCAGGAGGACATCAGTGATGAGTCATGGTTATAGGATGAGCATCAAGCAGTGGGGAGCCCATCCCACCAGAGGCCAGTGTGGGCAGAGGCCCACTGTGGATACTTTACTCCACTTACCTTGTTGCTGGGTGGTACACAGCCCTCCCTGATCACAGATACTTGAAGGGATAAGGGAAGGAAGGGGGCAGAGAAAGAGCCTGAATTAACAGAATTTAACTCTAGGAATTACCAGATTTACCTGGAATTGCTAAAATTGTTTTCTGCTGCCATAAATTCAGCAATAGAGAAATAAAGACAATTAAGAATTTGTACCTCTAAATCTGTGCCCTTGAAATTCACATTTAATAAAATATCAGTTCTTTGTACCCAGCCTGGTACAATGTGAATGTTAAGAAAACATTTGTTGACTGGTGGAAAGAGTGAATGGAAACATAGCTCTTCTGACTGCCAGGAAGACCATATTTGGAAGCCATGTTTCTAGCCCTTTACCCTAAGGGATTCTGCTTGTCATCATATGACAGTATTTGCTGACTCTGCCCTCGGATAGTTTACATATAACAAGAATTTAGTTCAACCAGATTACTTACAGCCCAGTACTTCATTGTGAGAATGGAAGGGTATGCCTTGAAGTTTATTCAGGATTTATATTGATGCTCTTCATTATCCAACTAGGAATTTATTTTGTTTATGAGAAATTTCTCTTTATATACAGAAAAGGAGTATAGGTACTAAGGGCCAGGAAGAACAGTGAAAGATAATTCACATTTATTATTCTCTATTGTGCGTGGTGGGGCACTGAAACCTCAAGACAAACTTGTAAGTAAATGTTAGTATTATCCTCGTTTTAGAATGATTAAATTGTATCTTTGGTTAGTGCACTTGGCACTCAATAGAACTTAAAATGTTGGTTGAATAAATTAACGAATAAAAGTTGAGCTACATGCTCAAGGCTATGCAGGCCGTAAGTGGTCCTGCAACAACTCGGAAGCCTGTATCTTTCCACGAGGCTGTGAAGCTCACGCTACAGTTGTAAATTAGCTTCTTGGTGATTGTTTCAGTCCATTTGTGCTGCTATGACAAAATACCTGAGACTGGGCAAACTATAAATAACATAAATTTATTTTTCATAGTTTTTCAGGCTGGGAAATCCAAGATCAAGGTACCAGTAGGTTTGGTCTTTGCTTCCAAGAAGGCCCTTGTACGTTATCCCCTCACATGGTGGAAGAGGAGGAGAGTAAAATCACTCCCCTAAGCCCTTTTATAAGGGCTCTAATCCCATCCATGAGGGATCTCCTCCTAAAGGCCCCATCTCTTAATACTGTGACATTGGCCATTAAGTTTCAACACATGAATTTTGGGAAACACATTCAGACCAGCGATTGTTTGTTAAAACTCTATTTTTTTTTTTTTTTTTTTTTTTTGAGACGGAGTCTCTGTCTGTCGCCCAGGCTGGAGTGCAGTGGCGCGATCTCGGCTCACTGCAAGCTCTGCCTCCCGGGTTCACGCCATTCTCCTGCCTCAGCCTCTGGAGTAGCTGGGACTACAGGCGCCGGCCACCAAGCCCGGTTAATTTTTTGTATTTTTAGCAGAGACGGGGTTTCACCGTGTTAGCCAGGATGATCTCGATCTCCTGACCTCGTGATCCGCCTGCCTCAGCCTCCCAAAGTGCTGGGATTACAGGCGTGAGCCACCGCGCCCGGCCTAAAACTCTATTTTTTTATGGTCTTGGATTTCTTGGTCATTATTGTTTTGACTCTCCAAAGTACTTGGATATAAGCATCTTTCTTCAAGGCAGGAGATAAAGGGAGACTTCAAGATAGACAAGATGGAAACTGAGCGGCCATAACTCCTGTGGCCTCTATTTTCTTTCTTTCTTTCTTTCTTTTTTTTTTTTTTTTTTTTTGAGATCGAGTCCCTCTCTGTCACCCAGGCTGGAGTGCAGTGGTGTTATCTTGGCTCACTGCAACCTCTGCCTCCTGGGTTCAAGTGATTCTTCTGCCTCAGCCTCCCGAGTAGCTGGGACTACAGGCATGTGCCACCATGCCTGGCTAATTTTTGTAGTTTTAGTAGAGATAGGGTTTCACCATATTGGCCAGGCTGGTCTCAAACTCCTGACCTCATGATCTGCCCACCTCAGCCTCCCAAAGTGCTGGGATTACAGGCGTGAGCCACTGCTTCTGGCCTTTTTTCTTAGTAAGTAGGTAGACAAATTCTCTGCTGTGAATGAGACCTGGGGATTGAATTGGTATGAAGATTTCCAGGGTTTAGAGTGGGGAAGACTTGGATGGGGTTTTCTGGGAAATGTTGAATAAACTAGAGTTGAGTAAAAGGTTTGTTGAGTAGCAGAGGGAATCCCTAAATAATTTATGAGGGTAGTTTCTCTAAGCTCACAAGTTGCTGATGGCAGAAGTTATTATTCTTCAGTTGCAGATGAGACAACTGAGAATTTGCCAAGGTTCTACGATTTGTATCAACTCCTGTAATTATCTATCTATTTTTATGGAGTTGGCTATCAATATTTATTTCTCAATTATTTGATAGAATGTCACTTCTTGAGAGCAGAGACTGTGTCTTCTTCATCTTTGTGTTTTCTTAAATCCTGAGCATAGTGTACAGCACTGAGGAGGTTCTCAAAGGACTGGGATCAGAGCTAGAGGCTGAGCTCAAAGAGATAGCAAAATATACAAGCAGTGATCGAATCAATTGAAAATTGCTTGTCTAGAGGAGCAGGCCTGGAGCGGGGAGGACAGGAGCTCAGGGAGGAGCTTAACTCACACTCTCATGCAGTATCCTCCATGAAGGTGAGGCCTCTGGATGTTCAGACTGCCCCTGGCTCATCAGGATTCTCCTTCTGACCCTGGAACTTATGTGTAGTAGGGAATCTGCCTTTCTCTGCTTTTCCATGAATCCACCTTCACCATCAAGGACTGACTACTAAGCTTTCTTGCTCTTGCTCTTTATGACTCATCACACCACTTCCAGCCTTGTATAACCAAGTCCTTGAAAATAATAACTCATAATAACGTAGTGTTCTGGTGAAGGGAAAATCCAGGGCCTTCAAAATTGCAGGAAATCCACTGGAGCCTGCTATTGAGTATGGATGTGAAAGTGTACCTGTGTGTGGCTATGCATGCGTGTGATGCATAGTGTGGCTTCCTGAAAGTACATGTCCATCCATGCAGGTAAGCGTGTGCATATGCTTGTGAATGAGGGTACATGAGGGCTCAAGTCATGTCTAGCTGATTTATTGTCCTACAAGTTCACCTGCTACTTCAAAAGAAAATACAATTTTCCAGACTTCTCAGTCATAAAGTGACCTGAGCCCAAGCATTGATTTGAATCTCCTAAAGATAGTTGTGAAAATACCTGCATTGCTCAGCACCACCATATCACTTGATATTCCAGAAGTTAAAAAAATTCTTGAAGCATGTTAGTTTTAAAATAAATCTCATGAGATCTTTAGGAGCTAAATAAAGTAGGGATTATGTGTAATACTTATTAATATTAAATATTTTCGTTCATCAGTTGAGAGTGGAATCAGTTGCATTAATACACACATACACACACATCTATACACAAGTTAGCTGTTTGTTTCTCAGGTGAGAGAAGTACAGTGATTTGCAGTATACAACATGGATAAAATAGCCCTGCAAAGAGGTGAGGGCCCCATATTCCAATTAGCTCACTCTTTGCCATCCCTAAGGTGTACCCATTGTTCTCATGGCCCCAAATGGCTGCAAGAACTCCAGTCACCTCATCCACATTCTAGGGAGGAGGTTGGAAGACAAAAGGGAAAAGGGCATGGCTCCCCTTTTTAAAAAGACTCCCTGGAAACATAAGAGAATGTATAGGCTTACATCTGGTTCTAAAAGTTGGTTTCTCTACACTAGTTGCAAGAGAGGCTGGGAAATATAATGTGTTTAGTTGGGGACATGTCTGCCCCATAAAAACAGGAGTTCTGTTACTAAGATAGCAGGGCAGAATGGAAATTGAGTGACAAGTGGCAGTTCCTGTCACATTATATGGTGCTTTTATCTCTCAACTCTCTATCCTGCTATCCTGTTATTCTAACACTCTATCTGGTGGATAAGGCCGATGATGTCAGCCCACTGAATTGTGAGCTCTTACAGGGAGGAACCTATTATTCGTCTTTTTTATCCTGTCTCTTCAGCTCCTTTCTTTAGCTTTGTGTCTGGCATATTAGTAAGTTCAAAATCCCCATTTTACAGGTAAGAAAATGGAGCCAAAGGGACATAGTGTGACTTACAATGTGGATTAATGAGACTTGAGAGCAGAGTCAGTCTGCTGTCACCCAGATGCTGGAGACTTATCACCCATTGCTGC
The DNA here is from genome assembly GCF_000001405.40 of Homo sapiens. Taxonomy (NCBI): domain Eukaryota; kingdom Metazoa; phylum Chordata; class Mammalia; order Primates; family Hominidae; genus Homo; species Homo sapiens. Next base: position 17,868,707 of record NC_000002.12, read on the forward strand.
CGTGGATTCCAGAAACCTGGCATCATTTTCAGGTGCTGGGGGATTTGGAGAAGAAAGCAGTCTTATATTACAATCTTATCTTTCAGGTCCTGGAAATGCAAAAATATAGCCTGTCCAAGCAGTCACCATTTTAATTCTGAATGACATTTCTCATTGTCCTACAAAAAAGAACATGTTCCTAGGAGTGTATTTTTTTTAATGTGTTTTTTCATTTTTGGCAATGAAACATGAAGTCAGTCAGCACAAGGTAGGGTCTTTTCAAAAGCACATAAGAGAGATTCTGCTTGATTCCCACCCAGGTTCCGGCAGTGCCTCAACCTCTGGCTGTTACCAACATCCTGTCCTGGCTATGTTCTTGTTTGCTTTTATTTTTGTTTGCATGAGCTTCTACCAGACCTAGGCAAGGTGCTAGGTGCTTTATGTATATCATTCCCTTCAATTTCTCAACTCTTTAAGATAGGCATTTGTTCTGATCACCTCCTAGTCATTCCATTGGTAAAGGAGGCCTCCTTTGCCCTAAATAGCATGGGATGACTGCACACAGGACACGTGACACTTGACACGTGGTTCTGACGGCAGTGTATTAGTCACATATACTCGCAGCCCTGGGGTGGAGGATGCTGCCTGCTATGCAGGGCCACATGGGGTGGCACTCAGGAGCAGAATGAACCAACAGGGACTGTGGGAGGCAGGCTTTGTAATGACAACAGCGTCAGGTGCCTCTTGGTTTCCTTGAGAGGATGTGATTGGCTTTATGAGTAGTTTCATGGGCTGGCAGGGAGGTAAAATCCACTAGGTTGAGTTAGGGTTAGGGGATGCAGCTGGTCCAGCTGATAGGGGATATAGCCAGGCAGGGAGCCTTTACCACTGTGTGGGGGCATATCTAGCGAGAGCATGGGAACTCATGGCTAAGCCTCTGGAGAACTGTGAGGCTCAAAGATGTCAGTGGCACGTGGAATTTCAGACTTTACAATACAGTATCATTATCCTCATTTTGCATGAGAGGAACTGAGGCACAGGTGGGCCAAGGTGACTTAGCTAGTATAATGCTGAGCCTGACACCATATAGCTTTTCCTTTCCTCTCTATTGCTCTGTATCAAATCATCTTGTAAATGAGGAGGCCGAGGATCAGAGAAAGAAATGATGTGCTCAAAGTCACTCAGCTAGAGAGGGACGGGGTTAAGTTAAAACTCGAGGTGTGGAGTCTAGTGCTCTTCACCTGCTGGGACAACTGCCTCTGGCTGCATTGGTCCTGACACCAGAAGACTAGTCACAGCCTGCTGGCTTCCACATCTCTGGGCAGGCAGAGTAGAACGTGACTTTGGTAATGCCGACTGAAATATCAGCAGGGTTCCTGCAGTTTACTATTTCTTAAAGGTTGAACTGGAGATTGGACTGGTAAGTTTTTGTTTTTAGCTGTTCTGTAGAGAAATAAGGATTGAGACAATCTTACTGTATCCAGGGATGATACTGAAATATTTAGCAACTGCTAGAAAGACTGTCAGTTCTAGCTGCCCCAGACATTAACTCTGTAGTTTTTGAGAGCGTGGAAAATCTGAAGTGTCCCTGGGACAGGGCTGGGGCAACAGGAAGGATGTTCATGGGGCTTGGGGGCGTGGCTATTTACCAGCCAATGCAGAAGCATTTCAATATTCTCATATCAGCTCTGTTCGTATTCTAACCAGCAATCCTGCACTGTGTATATATCCCCCTCACATTCTCCCCATGTGCATAAAGTGGCACATGCAAGGATGTTCATCCCAGTGTTGTTTGTATTGGGGGGCATTTGGGGTAGTTTGGGCATCTGTCCCTGGGGAGTGTTGGGCAGCATGTGGATAACATGATAATAATGAGAAACAGGCCAGATGCACCCAGAGCAAGAGTGATGGAGCTAAAAACACCCCACCGTGTGGAGTGGAACACAAGAAAAGACTGAGATAAAGGACAAATTACCATTTACATAAATTAAAACAGTATGCATTCAAAACAGTCATATACATTTTATAGGGACACATGGAAAAAGAGACTATCAATAAGCATGTTAGAATGGCTGCCTATATGGCTGGGCATGGTGGCTCACGCCTGTAATCCCAGCACTTTGGGAGGCCAAGGCAGGTGGATCACTGATGGTCAGGAGTTTGAGAACAGCCTGGGCAACATGGTGAAACCCCATCTCTACTAAAAATACAAAAAATTAGCCAGGTGTGGTGGTGGGCGGCTGTAATCCCAGTTAATTGGGAGGCTGAGGTATGAGAATTGCTTGAACCTGGGAGGTGGACGTTGGAGTGAGCCGAAATTGTACCACTGCACTCCAGTCTGGGTGACAGAGCAAGACTCCGTCTACGGAAAAAAAAAAAAAAATGGCTGCCTATGGATAGTGGGTTGGCCATGCAAGTGTGGAAGAGGGAATAAGCAAAACGAACAAACAAACTAACAAACAAACCAGGAGAGAGGCCTTGTACATGCTAATGATGACAATATGCCGTAACTGAAGAGTATGGTCAAGTTAACCCTCTGCATCCAAGGGAAATAAAAGAAGGAAAGAAAGATGAATAAGTCAGTGCAGCTGACCAACACTCCTCAATATTTCCAGCTGTTCATAAAGAGGAAGAGTGAGGTGCATTCAAGATGAAATGACCTGTGAGTTACTGCTTACAGAGAGTGGGGCGTTCACTGCCCACTGTGCTCATCCAGAAAGACTTTTTGAACCCTTCTCACCACCATATTTTGAAATGGAAGAATTTCCTTCTCATTATTGTGAAAAGAAATGGTGATTTTTTTTCAAAAGAAATTTTAATGGAAAATGAAACAAGACAAAATATGTAGAACAGAAAGACATTCAGAAAAATAGTGTCTAAACACACATTTTCTTTTTTTAAACCCTAAGAATGAGTATTCTAGTCCCCAGGCTCCTGGCTGAGCCTGTGCCTGGATGCCTGGCCTTGGGCTCCCTTCCTTGCCCCAGGCGGGCCTCAGGCCCTGACCTCGTCTCCCACCTCCACTTGAGGAGCACATTCAGGGTGGTTACAGCTGACTCCAGGCCCCTTTTCTTTCAGAGGATAGGGGGCAACTTCCTCACAGATGCAGCCTAGTGATGCCACGTGTGGCCCTCTTGTGTATGATATTTAGTTTAACACAGGCTTTCTGGAACACATGGGAGAACCTGGGTGCCTGTGTTGTGGGGTGATGGGTTTCCACTTGAGCACTTAGAGAACCCTTTGTCTCACGATGATGGACACTCCTATTTCCTTCCCTTCCCCAACCCTGGGTCACACTAGACCTGTCATTCCTCTTTATATCACTAAGAGCCGGGTAGTGAGTTTGCCAGTTATTTCCCACAGGGCTGAAGGAAGGCTCTGTCCTAGCAGCCTTGATTCTGGTAACATAGGGTCTTTCTTTCTTTCTTTCTTTCTTTCTTTCTTTCTTTCTTTCTTTCTTTCTTTCTTTCTTTTCCTTCCTTCCTTCCTTCCTTCCTTCCTTCCTTCCTTCCCTCCCTCCCTCCCTTCCTCTCTCTCCCTCTCTCCCTCCTTCCCTCTCTTGCCTACTCCTCTCTTTCTGTCTCTCTCTCTCTCCCTTCCTCCCTCCTTTCTTCCTTTCTTTCCATTCTTCGTGGGATTCCTTAAACATTTTATTTGAATCTCATTTATAAATATTTTAACTTATAAGAACTAATGAAAACCATCATGAAGACTCAAGAGTGCTATGCCAAAACTGTAACACACTGAAACTCATCAACAGGTTGAATACTTCTGACACAATCCCCCAGTTTGCTCATGCTTTAGAATAAAACTTCAGCTGTGCCTAGCACTTATCAGAACCTCCTCTGGCTTAGAGTTGGGAGCTCTCAGTGGCCTGCACATGGGAGGTGGGAGGGAGTGAACTGACTGCCATTGTCACCTCACCAGACACACAGACTAGGACCTGGTACCTGGGCCAGAAGGTGTGGGCTACTCTCGCCTTCAACATAGGGTATTTTCATAATACAAGGGACTGGGGAACATGAAAAAGAGGGATCTTCAGATGCCAGCACCCAGGTGTGAGGGCGACATCCGAATCCCCACTTTTCAGCAGGCAGAAACTCTACCCTTGAAGATGGATGTGAGTGACAGAAACCACAAATAACAACAGCTGAAATGAGATGCTAGTTTCTTTCTTTCATATAAATGAGGGCAGTCCAGTGCTGTTAAGAGGACCTAGGCCCCTTCTAGCTACTCATCTGACCATCCTTATTATGTGGCTTGTACCTGTGGGTTCAAATGTCTATCCAGATCCAGTGATCTTCTCTGTGCTCCAGAGAGCATGAAGGCAAAAGAGGGAAGGGGAAGGGCACTCCCCTCTTCCTGTGAGGACACTGCCCAGAAGCTGAATGTGCCACTTCCACTGACGTCCCATAGGAAATAAGTCAGGTACATGCTGTCCTCTCACTGCTAGGATGTGTAGATTTTATCCTAGGCAGCAATATCGCTAGGAGGATGGCCAACTGTCCTGGTTTGCCCTGGAATGTAGTGGTTCCTGAAATGCTGGACTTTGAATTTTAAAACTGGGGCAGTTTCAGACAAACTGGGAAGAGCTGGTCACTCTAGTACCCAGTAATACTTGGAGATATTATTACTGAGAAAGCAGAAATGATCATGAGGGTATGCCCAGGATTCTTTGTCATGGGGATACTCTTCATTTGTCTAGTTGGAAATGAAGGCTGTGCCTTAAGTTCCACCCCACAAATGAAGGGCTACTAAAGAGGTGCGAAATGCCCCCAGAGGAACAACCATGAGGATGACATATCTGGTCTTTGCTCCCTCTTGGTTTGCTTTCCTATACCTTCCCCTGTTGTCTTTGTTCATCCATCCATCCAGTTATCTATGCAGGCATCCAATCATCTCCCTTTTCATTCATTTTTTTTTTTTTGAGATAGAGTGTTACTCTGTCACTCAGGCTGGAGTGCAGTGGTGCAATCTTGGCTCACTGCAACCTCCGCCTCCAAGGTTCAAGCGATTCTCAGGCCTCAGGCCCCCGAGTAGCTGGGACTATAGGCACCCGCCACCATGCCTGGCTAATTTTTGTATTTTTAGAAAGATGGGGTTTCACCATGTTGGCCAGGCTAGTCTCGAACTCCTGACCTCAAGTGATCCACCCACCTTGGCCTCCCAAAGTGCTGGGATTACAGGCATGAACCAGCACACCTGGCCACTTTTCATTCTTAAAGTATTTGTTGAGCATCTATAATGTGCTCTTAAGATATTGAGATGAACAACACCACTTAGTTCCTGCCCTCAAGGAACTCACAGTTTAATCCATCCATATAGACAATGAATGATAGTACAGGAGTCTAACTGTAATCGGAGCTTTGTACAAAGTATAATGGGACCCAGTAGAGCAAGCAACTAAATTTGCTTTGCGAGTCAGAGAAAGCCTCAGAGAATGGGTGACATATACTGGATCCTGGAGATTAAGCAGGCATTTTCCGGTGGAGAAGGAAACACTATAGGAACGAGGCACCAGAAAGGCAAGACTCAGATGGCATGCAGTGAGCATAGAGGAGAGATGGGCCACTTCTGTCGGGCTGGAATGTGAGGAAAGTGCAGAGGAGAGGGGAGGGGAGGTGGTGATGAATGAGTAAGGCAGAGAGAAAGGTGTGAAGAGCTTGAAATGTGGTAAAAAATCAAGTTGTGACCAGAGTATGAGCAATCTGGAAGGCCATCCCTGGAAATATTTTCATGGGCTAACTTCTCAGACAGAGCCTTTCCTATACTAGAGTGTTATGAGGACCTGCCAGTGTGATGGAGTAAACACCTTCCTTTCCGTGCCTAGGGTCAGGCACAGGTGTTCTGTGGCACTCACCTTGGGCAATACTCAAGGGCCTTCAGAGGGTGATTCTGAGTACCTGAGGACAGCATTCCTTTGTGCCTGGAGACATAGCCTGTCACAGGGTTTTTTCTTTCTTTAATAATTTATAAAGTGTCTCCTTTTATCTATAGAAACATAAAGCTTTTAGACCTGGCAAGGGCCTTAAAGATGATATAGTCCCAACCCAAATGTAGGGCCCAAGAGGAAATATCACTGAGGTAATCAGGGACAGAGCTGAATCAGAATTCAAGTCTTTGTACTTGAAGATCATAAAGATTTAAGGAATTTTTCTTTTTCTTTTCTTTTTCTTTTTTTTTTAGACAGGGTCTCTCTCTGTCACCCAGGCTGGAGGGCAATGGCACCATCTCTGCTCACTGCAACCTCCACATCCCAGGTTCAAATAATCCTCCTGCCTCAGCCTCCCAACTAGCTGGGACTACAGGCATGCACCACCATGCCTGGATAATTTTTGTATTTGTTATATAGGCAGGGTTTTGCCATATTGCCAAGGCTGGTCTTGAACTCCTGGACTCAAGCAATCTACCCGCCTTGGCCTTCCAAAGTGCTAGGATTACAGATGTGAGCCACTGCACCCGGCCTTAAGAAACTTTTGATATAAAAATAATACCACAGGGCAGTTAGAGTAAGCATACAATAATTTTGTGAAAAGAGCATGATCATTGTAGCAATAATCTGAAATAAAAACATTCTAGCTGATTGAGAACTAAATTTAATTTAATGTAAATTTAGTTCTGAGCTTCCTGGCAGCCAAGCAAAGACAGCGATATGATGGTTTACATGTTTTATTTTTACCTGGCAAAAGGTAGCGTAGAAATAAGGGATTTAGGTTTTGACTAGGATCAGATGAAACTGGGCAGCCTTCAGTAATTCACTTCACAAACATGCAGATCCAACAGAAGTTCCTGGAAATTCAGTCTTCAAGGAGCTTATTGTCTAGTGGAAGACAAACAGTTAAAATCCCATATGGTAGATTCTATGAAAGTGGGAGGCAAAGGCTGCTGAGGGAGTGTGGAAAGGAAACACACAACACACAACCCAGGATGAGAGAGGCGGCTTCCCAGAGGGTCGTGATTATGATGTGATTATCCACTGAATCTCATCCTAAGGGAGAAGGGGTCTGTTGGGCAAAGCAAAGCTTGGTGATGGGGAACTGTGTTCTTAGCTGAGGAGGCACTGCTGTGCATTCAGAGAGTCAAGAAAAAGCATGGTGGGTCTGGGGAGTTGCAGGTGTTTCATGTGCTCAGACTAACTGGAGTGATATTCAGGCAGCTGGGTAGAAAGTGGCAAGTGAGAGGCACACACCAAATAAACGCTGCTCATTATGACTATACCCCTCACTCCCAACCTTCCTGCCAGAGATGAGCACATCTTCATTTTCACCTGCAGACCTGTTCCAATTTAAGAAGCTAATGAGCACTTCCCTTTCCTTCAGGACTAAGGCAAGTACTAATCTAGCTGATTTCTGTCATTTGAACTTTAGTGAGAATAAAAAGTCGGGGACAGGTTTGGCTCTGGGGAGGGAAGGGAAGACATGGATGTGTGATAGGTGGGTAAGAGAGGGAGACCTCCAAACGAGGCCTGGAAGACAGACTGAAATGCATCCCACATTAGTGGCATGTGTCTCCATCCACTCCAGGAGTCCTCTGAAACCACAGAGGAGTGAGCATTATTGTCAACGATGATTAAATGATTGACCCCTCACAGATTAAATGCATGGTTTATCTAGATGTTTCTCTATAGGCACAGTTAATTAAGAGGGAACGGGATGTCATATCGGGAGGCATAAAGACTGGGCAGGAAGTGGGTGTGTGGGGAAAAGGAGGCAGTTAGTTCACAGCATGCCCCCGGTAATGGAGACTGGGGTTGGGGAAGGGGCTACATACCGTGTGTGTGAATTTACCACTTTGCCTAGCTCAACCTTGGTCAACATTCAAGAGTAAACTTTTGGGGAGCAGACCTGCCTCAGGGGTCATCCGATGTGGTCCTTTTTATTATTTCATTGGCTTCACATGATTACCCTGGGAGAGAGGAAATTTCCTTACAGATGACAAAATCAGGGCTGAAAGACGAAGTGGCTCCCTGCAGGGCTCAGCAGGGTAAGAAGTCCTGTCTGTCTCTGTCTCAGATCTGTGGCCCTTCTCTGTGCCCACTCCTACATGCCCACCGTGGAGGCCCACCCCTTCTGTCCTCAGCTCCTGCAGATGCACAGGGGCCCTTACTGGCTCCCACTGTGTGTGCCTTCCCGACTGCTCACATGTTCCGCCCAGACCCCAGGAGAAAGACCTCACTGCCAACTCTTCTGCACTGCAGGTGCCTTCTGCAGTGCTTAGAGATTCTGAACATATTTCCTTCTCAAGTAAACCATGCTGGACTTTTTGGATAAACTTAGTGATTTTAAAATGATTAAATAGGTAACTGCTGGGAGAGATCTGGAAGCATTCTTCTAAGGTGTTGATAAAATGTAAATATATTTTTAGAACAATCTTAGAGCTTATGCTAAAGATGAACTATGTAAGAAAGTTACCTTCTTCAGCCACTTGTAAATAGCAGTGTGGACCAATGCTTTGGATCCTCTTCCACAGGAGAGGAGACAAGATTGGAGGAACCAAAGAACCATGGAATTAGGGACAAATGGCTCAGAACAGTGCTCTGCAGACACATGCATCTGTACTTTGCTTCCCAGAAGCCAAATGAAACTGTTGGAGCTTGGTGGGCTCCAGGCCTCAGGGGGAAGACCACCCTAGGCTTTATCTTTTCCTCTGCCCTTCCTGCCTGCTGTTAGCCTCTCCTCTGGACCAAAACTCCCTTTAAGGGGAAAACCTCCTCTTTGAAGCCCACAAGATACGGTGAGGATTACTGCCTTTTTCTGATTTCCAACGTGGGTTTTTCATTAAGCAAAGAACAATTAGAAAACCCACACATAACATAGGGTATTCAGTAAGTTCAGGAAAGTGTTTTCCACCATCTCTTTGCCCCCATTCCCTCCCCAGCGCTTGGCTCAAGGTCTGGAGCTTGAATCTGCATCGTCTTCCTAGGTGCTTGCCTGAGGTGAGTGGTCAGCGGGTGCTGGCTTGGGGGCAGCTGGCAGGGCGTATGCTGCGGGTAGGAACCCAGGGAACACTGGGCGCCTTAGCTTGGAGCAGCTGGCTCCGAGGAATTGTTCCACGTCTGCACAACTTAAAAATCTGCAGTTTGGGGGCGGGAGGGGGAGCGCGGGGGTGGGTCCCGAAGCGTCCCATTTCTCCTCCTGGCTGTTAACTGAGCGCTCTCGCTCAGTGCAGCGAGGCCAGCGATGCCTTCTGGACCACACGCTGTCCTCGCCGAGGTCCTGGTTTGTTCCTCAACGTCGGCTGAAGGCATCGTCCCCTGACTTCCTCTTCCATTCGTCCTTCCGAAAGGGGACCCGACTGGTTCCTCTTCTACATATGAGGCGCATCTGCTTGGTGCAAATGTCCAAGCACCTCTTCTGACTCGGTGAGTGGAGGAATAAGACAAAGCATCTTGTTCTGCACTGTGCCTGAGTCTTCAGGCAGCGGGACCGATGGCAAACATTGGCAGGAACTGGAGCTATATGTACTCTCCTTCGCACTTTGTTTTAAAACAAGTTTGGGCCTCGCGATTTCCTGAGGAAATCCAGGCAAATTAGCAAAGTGTCGCTTGGGCCGCGACTTTAGAAAGGCGGTTGCCCCAGCCGCCGGGGCCGCGGGGGAGGTCATCTTTTTCCCGCAGGGCCACGGCGCTTCCGGCCCAGGAGGGCGCGCAGGTGGGAGGCGCGGGGCGCGCTCCTGGTCCCACCCGGACAGCGCCTGCCGCTCCGGGGTGACTCTGCACTTGGGCCTGGGCGGGGGCGCGCGGCCGGCAGGGCAGCATCTAGGTCTATGGGTCTGTCCGCCTGTCTGGCGGTCGGAGCCCCGCAGTCCTCAGCCGCCCGCGCCCTCGGCCCGGGGCGCCCGGCTGCGGGCCCGAAGCGAGGGGCTGGCGGAGCTGCGACCAATGGGGCGGCGGCCGAGCGGCGGGCCCCGCCCCGTCCCGTCCGGCCCCGCCCCGCCCGCAGCTCCCGGGAGCCTCGCTCTAGCGGGGCGGGACCGACGGACAGACCGGCCGACGCGGGCCACCCCGCTCTCCTCGCCGCCGCGGCGGCAGGCGCGGGGCCGCGCCGCGAGGCCTGATCCCTGCAGCGCGGGCAGGCGGCGTCGCAGAGCGGAGCTAGCTGGATGCGTCCGGACTCCTGCAGGTACCTGGCTGGCGTCCCCACCTCCCTGCGCGCTCCGGAGACTTCTCCGGGCGACCCTGCAACTTTACCGCGCCTTCCCCCACCTTTTGCTGCCCCAGTCTCCTGTGGTCCAGGTCGCGGGTGCACGACCCCGAGGGTCTACGGCCGCAGAGCACTTTCCGTCCTTCTGGGCGTCTGGCCCGCGGCGCCCGCATCCTCTGGTCCCCAGAGCCCGCCGTCGCTGGAGCCCTAAGGCTCCGCCTGTTGCGTGAACTGCGGGCTGTTGAAGCGGTGGCTGGGTTGATTTGAAAGCCTCGGGGAAGGTATTTAGGATCAGCTTTCGGGGAGTGGGGTGGGCTATGGTCAGGGGGAGGACCACCTGGAGGCGGGAGAATCGATGAGCCGAAGAAAGGCGGCACCTCGCGTAGGGGCATCCCCGGGGCGTTTCCTTGGCCGGGAAGCCGTTCCTTCCCTTCCTCGAGAGGAGGCGCTTTCCTGGCGCTTGTAAATGCTTCCCGGGCCGTCTGCTCCGCCTTCTTTGTCATTCCTCCCCTCCCCTTTGCCCTGCAGCTGTGCTAGGCGCCCCGCGACAGTTGCAGGGAAGAGCGAACCCAGGGCCCTTGCTCTCGTGCAGCGCTGCGCCCTGGGTGGGGACGGCGTGAGGCTTGCAGCGCAGGTGTGGAGTCACTTGCGGACTCTGCGTTTGGATCAGTGGCAGTGGTGGGGAAGGGTCACCCCGGGGTCAGGAACTCCTCTTTTTTTTTTCGCGCCTTTCTGGGTGGCTGCCCGACCTCCTGAGGCACCTTGGCTAGCAAGCGAGCCAGTCTTGCCGGCAGGGGCCGCGGCGAGCCTGGCTGGGCGCCTTTCGCATTGCAGGGCTTGTCCTGCACCCCCAACCCCGCTCTGTCCCTTCTCGTTCATTTGGAGAAAGGAGCACCTTTTGCATTCTTGATGTCTCCCCCCGGTTTTGTCTGGGGAGACCGAGCCGAAAGCTTCACTCGGGTGGCCCGCAGCAGGGGCAGAGGACAGCAAAGAGCTACCTCCACCTGCCAAAATGACCCAGGGGCCCTGGTTTGGTGCCAAGGCGTGAAGTGGGGGGAGGGGCGGTAGGTGTTCCTTACGTTCCTGCCGGAGAGTAGCTTTGTGGTTGGCCCGGAGCCTTCGTTCGGGTTTTTTGTCTTTCACCCTACCCTCTGAAAATACTGGAGCAGATGAGTACAAACAGTTCAGAAGCCTTTCCTGTTTCTTTCCCTGTATTTACTCAAGCGATTTGCGTAACCATTCACTTGGAACTGTGTAAGTCACTCCTAGTTGCCCCCCTTCTTAGACTATTTGCAAATACCTGCCCAGGTAAACAGGAAGCACGCACCTATCTCTTAGCTGAAGGCATATGCCCTCGTGCTTTGTCTTCCCTGCATATCTGGAGCCGAAGAGGTGGCTTTGATTCTCTAGCTGAACTTGGTGTAATGTGCAGGCTCCACTTCTTACCTGGGTGGTGACCTTCTTGAGGAGATTGACTCGTTCAGTATGCATTTCCAACCAGCCCGCCATGGGCCAGGCCCCAGGATGCACTCGGGGACAGACAGCAAATGGATGATATAATTTCTGCACCCAGTCTAGTCTGTTCTTTCTTTCTCACCAGCTTCCCTTCTTCTCTTGTTCTAATATTATGTTTGTCGTTTCTGAACTAGGAATTGTCAATATTGGGATCCGGAGAAGGTCATATGAAGGTGCCATAGAACTCTGAATCCAAAGCATGTTGTGAATATACTAAGGAGACTTGCGGGATCAGTATTAATTGAATCTTTTGTCTGACCCATAATTGCCTGAATAGAGCCATTGATGAATGCAGCTACGCTAAGGTTTTGCTGGTCAAGTGTATGAGGGCAAATTGGGAGGTCAGAAGCAGTCTTTGTTCTGTTCTGAAATATTATAATATTAAAAATCCAAAGCTCTGGAGCTTGAGTTTGCCAGCAAAGCACCAACTGAGTATCATCATCTTCTTTTAAGAAGGAAGGGGGAGAGTGGGAACTGCAGCTCCCTCCTGTCTTCAGTGGGTTTTGCCCTTCACTGTAATTCTTCACAGACGTGCATCCCTCTGTTCTACCACCCATCTCAATCTGCCCTGTGTCTGGCATTTGCCATTGGAATGTGTGTCAGCTTTGAGAGAGTAGGCACCACAGGGTTTTCCTCCTCCTTTTCCTTCTATTTTTTAATAGATAACATTTATTAGCTGCATACTATATATCAGATACTCTGCTAGGCACTTTTCCAGGCATTATCTCATTTAATTCCCATAACAACTGCATGAGGATGTGATGCTTGCTTTCTTCACTGCAGTATTGCTGTGGGAGCCAGCAGTAGATGGAACCCCCCAGGTGCATGTTGAGTCAGATGGGAGGCCAGTGGGAAATGGTGGGCCTGAGGTCTCACTAGGAGGAAGGACGACTCTGCAGGGTATGTTGAAGCAGAGAAGGTGGGTGTGTTTATTGACTCTGCTTATCAGGTGTCAGGAAAGTGCATCTTCCAGAGTGCCACCTGTGTGAAATACCCACAAAGAAACATCATAGAGAAGAGAATAGGATGTGGGGACCCAGTTTCCAGCTGTGATATCTATTTCTTTATGGCTCCTTGACTTGACATGTCATTTTGCTAATCTGGGTCTTGGTCTGTTTAGCTGCACTGACCTAGATCTCTAATATTTGTTGTTACGCTGTACTAGGCACTAAAAGCTAAAAGCTTTTACATGTATGAACTCACTTCATCCTGATGACAATCTTAGGATGGTAGGTTCTATTATCACCGTATTTTACAGGAGGAAAGAGAGACAAACTGAGTAACTTGTACAAGGTCACCCAGCCCGGAAAAGGTGAAGCTAGGATTCTATCCCTTGCAGTCTGACTGCAGAGCCACTGTGAGATTCAGTTTTCCTCATTTATTCCTACAGTTCCAACACTGTTCCCTGTGCTTAGTGGGATCTCGGACTACATTTGTTGAACAGTGACAGAGGGGGCTTACAGTTACCAAGTGACTTTTGGGTCCCATGTCTCAGCCTTAAAAGGAATCTCAAAGACTGCGTTAGCAAAATATTATTTTTGCCTTTGACAAAATGGTCTGCTTTTCGGTGAAATTCTGCCCAGCTGGTTAGGAAAAAAGGAAGATAAACCATAAAGATCATGGGCCAGGGAAACATTATGGTGAGTTTCAGAAAATGTGTTTATCAATATAAGAAATTCAGAAAAACCACAGAACACTTTGTACTCCGACGCAAATTTGTCAAGTAAATCAACCAGTGACCAATTCACAAGTGCTTATTGTATGGGTGCTAAGTGCCCAGTACTACAGGCAATGAAGGTAGGCAGAATCTATGACATGGTCTCTGAGCTTGAACTTATAGTGGATCTGGAGACTCCAGATCAGTGAGACAAGATAGAACAATACAAGATGCTAAATGTTTAAGTCCTGATAAAAATCACAATGACTCGGTCACATTTGTATAACCTATTGTGGTTTGTAGGAACTTTCACATGGGATATCTCATTCCAGTCCTCAGAGCAACTGAGAGTTATAAGCTATAGGTGGGACAGAAGTTAGGAAGCCCATATTGCTGATGAAGAAATTAAGGCAAACTGAGCCTTGAACTTGGACACAGTCAGGGGTCTTCTGACTTTAAGTCCAGCATCTTTCTGCCTCACTTCTCTCTGGAGCTAGAGAGCAGAACAGGAGGGAGTGAGCTATCGAGAGTCCTTGGGGAGTGGGGAACTGAGTTTGAATTTCATCCTGGACCTGGCCTTTGCTTGCTGGTCTTGACTACTGTGGGTGCTTATTGGAGGCAGGGGATGGGGAGTAAGTACAAGCTGGGGAGGAGGAGAAAGAGGAGAAGAGTGTTGTTGTTTTATTGTTTCAGGGGCCTGCTGTTTTGTGAAGCCTGGAGTGAATACTCAATTATCATGAACATAATAACAAGGCTTAAAATGTACAACAAAATGTAGAAACTGATTTAGAATTTTCATCCCTGTTTTTCTTTATCATTTCTCTAGATCATCTTTTGAAACTTTTTAGCATATCTGCACATTATACTTTTTTTTCACAGTTGTTAAGAGGATCAAAATCTACACATTATAAAAGTAAACTCTTTAATAAGCTAAAATAGTTACTAGGCTAGGTTGTGGTATTTTTCTTGTGGGCAAGAGGTCTCATTCTCTTTGGAATCCTGCACAGCCTTGCACTACGATTTGCTTTGAGGAGATACTGTATAAATATTGTCTTCAGTTGCACAAGTATTGAACGATAAAGGCATAAGATCTGCTTTTAGCCAATAATGTTACAGTTAAGCAGTTAATGTTGGCAGCAGCCAGCCTCAGTGAGTTTGGTGAAGTGCCAAATGAATGAAGTATCTTGCTGAGTATTCTACTAATCAGCCATCCGAGGACTTACCAGATGCTCACCAAAGGTGACATAATGATTAACTTATATAGTCACATATATGTATTCTCATTATATATTCAAATCCGTGCATACATTCATTCAACAAGTATTTGAGTACTTACATGATGTTATGTACTATGCTAGGTGCTGGGTATACTGTGGTAAAGGAAACGGTGGGGGGTTGGGGTGGGGTGGGGTGGGGTGAGAAGTGGGAGGGAGACAGGCATTAAACAAACCAATGCAAAATTTAAGTAGTGGTAAGTTCTCTAAAGGACTTCATGGGAGAGAGTAACAAGGGTAGGGAGGCACTAGTTTAGATGAGAGGGTCAGAGAAGACCTTTCTGAGGAAGAGACATTTCATTTTGAGTGATAAAAGGAGTCCATTAAGTGAAGAGTGGGAGAAAGATAATTCCAGGCTGAGGATTCTAAGGCAGGAATGAGCATTGAGCCTCTTTTTGTTCTATGCAGGAACTTCAAGAGAACAAGGGTGGGAACAGCTGGGAGGAGGTTGTAGAAGAGGGCTGGGGTCATCCCATTACTGGGTATATACCCAAAGGATTATAAATCATGCTGCTATAAAGACACCTGCACACGTATGTTTATTGCGGCACTATTCACAATAGCAAAGACTTGGAAACAACCCAAATGTCCAACAATGATAGACTGGATTAAGAAAATGTGGCACGTATACACCGTGGAATACTATGCAGCCATAAAAAAGGATGAGTTTATGTCCTTTGTAGGGACATAGATGAAGCTGGAAACCATCATTCTCAGCAAACTATCGCAAGGACAAAAAACCAAACACTGCATGTTCTCACTCATAGGTGGGAATTGAACAATGAGAACACTTGGACACAGGAAGGGGAACATCACACACCAGGGCCTGTTGTGGGGTGGGGGGAGGGGGGAGGGATAGCATTAGGAGATATACCTAATGTAAATAACGAGTTAGTGGGTGCAGCACACCAACATGGCACATGTATACATATGTAACAAACCTGCACGTTGTGCACATGTACCCTAGAACTTAAAGTATAATTAAAAAAAAAAAAATATATATATATATATATATATATATATATATATATTTAAAAAGAAGAGGGCTGGGGTCAGATCAAGCTGTGCCCTTTAGGTCAAGTTCAAGGTCTTATGGTTTATTCTGAGGGCTGTGAAAAATGGATTTGCAGAAGGTGAGTGTCACAAGCCAATTTAAATTTATACAAGATTGCCTGGGAAGGCTGTGAAGAACAGATAGAAGAATAGACTGAAGAGGTACAAGCATGGGAAGCAGAAGCCTCGTTTGGAGGTGTGTTGTGTGTTGCAGAAGTGGAACCTAAAGTGAGATTGGCCTGGGTTGAAAGATGAATGGAGGTGAGGAAGTGCAGACCATACACATAAAGCTTGGTTGTGAAAGGGAGCAGAGAGACAGGATGGGTGTAGGGGCAGGTTTGTGTCTATGTGGAAGGCAACCTTGGCTGAGGTTAGGGATGTGAGTCCAGCTCGTTGGTAAATTAACAGATATATACCTCTGTGTATAGAGTTATAGCACTTCTAGAACATTAGACATTTGAATCCTATCTCTGGCTTTATCTCAAAATCTAGGTAACTTTAAGCATATCACTTTGAGTACTTCTAGAAGATTAGACATTTGAATCCTAGCTTTGGTTCTGTCGCCAAATCTGGGTAACTGAGCATATTGCTTGTCCTTCCCTGTTGTTTTTTTTTTTTTTTTTTCCTCACTGCCTGGTGATTTTATAATTTTTTTAAAAATGCAGTCTTCCTGCAATGTTCTTTAATAGCATTATTTATATGTGTTAATGTGGGTTATTTTTTATAAATTGAATTAGCAGAACTATGAATGGGGATGTAGGAACATTTGTGGTAGGATTCTAAGCATTTGCTCATTGTTGATCATGGATAAGCTGCTTTCAAATTAGCTTAAATAGAGAGACACTAATAATAAAGTCTAGTGGTGAGGAGACAGTAACCCTTCCAATGTAGATGGGATAAGGACTGATGGAGAGTCCTGGGCATGGTTATGAGCCACTTTTTGTGTTTCAGTGGGACTCCTCCTTACCTGGTCTTCTTCATTGCATGAGACGCTTCCTCTGTACGCATGGATATCTGTTAAAAAGATGATAAGAGAGGTACATCTGGTCTGTTTTCTGAGAACCCATTTGTGTTAGAGTTTTCTAGACAAACAGAACCAATAGGCTGTGCATATGTGTAGAAAGAGATTTATTCTAAGAAATTGGTTCACGCAATTATGGAGACTGGCAAGTCCAAAATTTGCCGGATGGGCCAGCAGGCTGGAAACCCAGGAGAGCCAACACTCCACTTCAAGTTTGGAGGCAGTTGCTATACAGCCTGGAAGAGCTG
Source organism: Homo sapiens (assembly GCF_000001405.40). Classification (NCBI taxonomy): domain Eukaryota; kingdom Metazoa; phylum Chordata; class Mammalia; order Primates; family Hominidae; genus Homo; species Homo sapiens. The sequence continues at coordinate 17,885,596 of NC_000002.12, forward strand.
ATGTTACAATGAAGTCCAAAGGCAGGCTGCTAGAAAATTCTTTCCTGTTTGAGGGGGTCCAGGCTTTTTGTTCTGTTCAGGCTTTCAGCTGATTTAATGAAGCCCACCAGCATTATAGAGGGCAGTCTGCTTTACTCAAAGTCTACCAATTTATATGCCAGTCTCTTCCAAAATACCCTCACAGAAACACTGAGAATAATGTTTGACCAAATGTCTGGGCACCCTGTGACCCAGCCAAGTTAACACATAAAATTAGCCATCACATCACATTTAACAGAATATACTGGCCTAAACATCAATAATGACCGTCACAGATAACCTGATGGGGCATTAAAGAAGGATAGAGTATCCAGTGATCAATTTGTAGTTGTAGGGAATGAGAGTATAAATAGGGCCATAGAGCCTGGGCAACAGAGCGAGACTCCATGTCAAAAAAACAAATACAAACAAACAAACAGGGCCATAGAACGGAAAGTTATTCCAAAAATCAGTCAAGTCATTTGCTGCCTCTGGACTTTAGGAATGCTGGCTTAAATCCTGACAAATAATTAGTGTATAGAGATAAAAGAATGCCAGCAGACTAAATTTGGGGCTTCAACATGCTTATATATTTTTTACTTTTATTCTGCTATGCACTGGATTGGCTTTCCTAAGTCCTGATGGACATGCCATGGTGAACCGAAAAGCATTTCCTATGATTTACTTGAGATAAAAATGTAACTGGCCAAAGAGATGGGAGAACTTCATGGTTGAATACTGTTGTTTGTAGATTTGGATTGAGTGGAGATGTTGTAGCAAAGGCATTTCATTATTCTTGTCTTTGAGTTCAGACAAAACACTTCTTGGAAGTATTTTTTTTGTGGGTTTTTAAGATCTGAGTTTTCTAAGTATGGTACCTTCGTGAGGCCACTGATGTAAGACCCCAGTCTTCCCTTGGTGCTCAGATGTTACGAAGATGAGATTCAGCCCTGAGGCTCAGGCTTGAGCTTCCATGACAGAGCTTGTCTCCTCTGGGATGAAAGGGTAAAAAGAAAGGAAAGTACCATGTATGGCAGTGTTCATCTGGGTGTCCCCATCCATCCGTCCGTCCATCCATCCATCCATCCATCCATCCATCCATCCCATTCTTCCACCACCCATTTAAATGTCCATCCATCCATCCATCCATCCATCCATCCATCCATCCACCCACCCACCTACCCACCTTTGCCACAGTGTAAAAAGGTATCAGGGTCCCCATGCCCTCTCATCTTCTCCTTAAATCACAATTCCTACAAAGTAGGCTCTTTTAAGATGTGAACATAGGAGTCTTGTGAAAGTTTATGCAAAACCTGAGAACTTTGTTTTTTAAGCAGGTTCCCCAGACTTGTTGATGTAATTAGAAATTGAATGTCAGCATGGTGCATCTTTTTGGTGATGAGAACCGAATTTTCTTCTCCCAGCCTCTCTAGACTTAAAGCAGCACACGTTGCTTTCTCATGTAATTTTTATTTTATTATTTTTTCTCTTCTATTATTATTATTGTTTTTATTTTTCCATAAGTTATTTGGGTGCAGGTGGTATTTGGTTACATGAGTAAGTTCTTTAGTGGTGATTCGTGAGATTTTGGTGCACATATCACCTGAACAGTATACACTGCACAATATTTGTACTCTTTTAATCCCTCCCCCACTCCCACTCTTCCCCCTGAGTCCCCAAAGTCCATTGTATCATTCTTATGCCTTTGCATCCTCATAGCTTAGCTCCCACATATCAGTGAGAACATACGATGTTTGATTTTTCCATTCCTGAGTTACTTCACTTAGAATGATAGTCTCCAATCTCATTCAGGTCACTTTAAATACTGTTAATTCATTCCTTTTTATGGCTGCGTTGTATTCTATCATATGATCTATCTATCTATCTATCTATCTATCTATCTATCTATCTATCTATCTCTGTATCTATATATATATCACAGTTTCTTTATCCACTCATTGATTGATGGGCATTTGGGTTGGTTCCACGATTTTGCAATTGTGAATTGTGCTGCTATAAACATGTGTGCAAGTATCTTTTTTGAATAATGACTTCTTTTCCTCTGGGTAGATACCCAGTAGTGAGATTGCTGGATCAAATGGTAGTTCTACTTTTAGTTCTTTAAGGAATCTCCACACTGTTTACCATAGTGGTTGTACTAGTTTACATTCCCACCAGCAGTGTAGAAGTGTCCCCTGTTCACCACATCCACTTCAACATCTACTGTTTTTTGATTTTTTTATTATGGCCATTCTTGCAGGAGTAAAGTGGTATCACATTGTGGTTTTTATTTCATTTCCCTGATCATTAGCGATGTTGTGCATTTTTTCATATGTTTGTTGGCCATTTGTATATCTTCTTTTGAGAATTGTCTATTTATGTCCTTAGCCCACTTTTTGATGGGATTTTTTGTTTTTTTTGTGCTGATTTGTTTGAGTTTGTTTTTGTCGTAGATTCTGGATATTAGTCCTTTGTCAGATATATAGATTGTGAAGATTTTCTCCCACTCTGTGGGTTGTCTGTTTACTCTGCTGACTGTTCCTTTTGCCATGTGAAAGCTCTTTAGTTTAATTAGGTCCCAGCTATTTATCTTTGTTTTTATTGCATTTGCTTTTGGGTTCTTGGTCATGAAATCCTTGCCTAAGCCAATATCTAGAAGAGTTTTTCCATTGTTATCTTCTAGAATTTTTGTTATTGTTCCAATGCTATCTTCTAGAATTTTTATAATTTCAGGTCTTAGGTTTAAGTCCTTAATACATCTTGTTGATTTTCGTATAAGATGAGAGATGAGGATCCAATTTCATTCTCCTACAGGTGGCTACCCAATTATCCCAGCACCATTTATTGAAAAGGGTGTGGAGTGGGGGGAGAGGGGAGGGATAGCATTAGGAGATATACCTAATGTAAATGATGAGTTAATGGGTGCAGCACACCAACATGGCACATGTATACATATGTAACAAACCTGCACGTTGTGCACATGTACCCTAGAACTTAAAGTATAATAAAAAAAATGTATATATATATATATATATATATATATATATATATATATATATAAAGAAAAGGGTGTTCTTTCCCCACTTTATGTTTTTGTTTGCTTTGTTAAAGATGAGTTGGCTGTAAGTATTTGGGTTTATTTCTGGGTTCTCTATTCTGTTCCATTGGTCCATGTGCCTGTTTTTATACCGGTACCATGCTGTTTGGTGACTATGGCCTTATAGTATAGTTTGAAATCAGGTAGTGTGATGCCTCCAGATTTGTTCTTTTTGCTTAGTCTTGCTTTGGTTATATGGGCTCTTTTTTGGTTCCATATGGATTTTAGAATTGTTTTTTCTAAGTCTGTGAAGAATGATGGTGGTATTTTGATGGGGATTGCATTGAATTTGTAGATTGCCTTTGGCAGTATGGTCATTTTCAGAATGTTGATTCTACCCATCCATGAGCATGGGATGTGTTTCCATTTGTTTGTCTTGTCTATGATTCCTTTTAGCGGTGTTTTGTAGTTTTCCTTGTAGAAGTCTTTTGACTCCTTTGTTAGGTATATTCCTAAGTATTTTATTTTTTTTGCAGCTATTGTAAAAGGGGTTGAGTTCTTGATTTGATTCTCCGCTTGGTCGCTGTTGGTGTATAGAAGAGCTACTGATTTGTGTACATTAATCTTGTATCCAGAAACTTTGCTGAATTCTTTTATCAGCTCTAGGAGCTTTCTGGAGGAGTCCTTAGAATTTTCAAGGTAAACGATCATATCACCAGCAAACAGTGACAGTTTGACTTCTTTCTTAGCAATTTGGATGCCCTTTATTTCCTTCTCTTGTCTGATTGCTCTGGCTAGGACTTCCACTACTATGTTGAAGAGGAGTGGTGTGAGTGGGCATCCTTGTCTTGTTCCCGTTCTCAGAGAGAATGCTTTCAACTTTTCCCCATTCAGTATTATGTTGGCTGTGGGTTTGTCATAGATGGCTTTTATTACATTAAGGTATGTCCCTTGTATGCCGATTTTGCTGAGAGTTTTAATCATAAACGATGCTGGATTTTGTCTAATGCTTTTTTTGCATCTATTGAGATGATCATGTGATTTTTGTTTTTTAATTCTGTTTATGTGGTATATCTCATGTATTGACTTGCATATGTTAAACCATCCTGGCATCCCTGGTATGAAATCCAGTTGATCATGGTGGATTATCTTTTTTATGTTGTTGGATTCAGGTAGCTGTATTTTGTTAAGGATTTTAGCATCTATGTTCTTCAAGGATATCGGTCTGTAGTTTTCTTTTTTGGTTATATCCTTTCCTGGTTTTGGTATTAGGGTGATCCTTGCTTCATAGAATGAATTAGGGAGGATTCCTTCTTTCTCTATCTTGTGGAATAGTGTCAAAAGGATTGGTATCAATTCTTCTTTGAATGTCTGGTAGAATTCTGCTGTGAATCCATCTGGTCCTGGACTGTTTTTTTGGCAATTTAAAAATTACCATTTCAATCTCACTGCTTGTTATTAGTCTGTTCAGGGTAGCTAATTCTTCCTGATTTAAGCTAGGAATGTTGTATTTTTCCAGGAATTTATCCATCTCTTCTATGTCTTCTAGTTTATGTGAGTAAAGGTGTTCATAGTAGCCCTGAATGATCTTTTGTATTTCAGTGGTGTCAGTTGTAATATTTCCTGCTTCGTTTCTTAGTGAGGTTATTTGGATTTTCTCTCTTCTTTTCTAGGTTAATCTTGCTAATGGTCTACCAATTTTATTTATCTTTTCAAAGAACCAGCTTTTTGTTTCATTTATCTTTTGTATTTTTTTTTTTTTGTTTCAATTTCATTTAGTTCTACTCTGATCTTGGTTATTTCCTTCTTCTGCGGGGGTTGGGTTTGGTTTGTTCTAGATTCTCTAGTTCTTTGAGGTGTGACTTTAGATTGTCTGTTTGTGCTCTTTCAGACTTTTTGAGGTAGGCACTTAGGGCTATGAACTTTCCTCTTAACACTGCCTTTGCTGTATCCCAGAGGTTTTGATAGTTTGTGTCATCATTGTCATTCAGTTTGAAGAATTTTTAAATTTCCATCTTGATTTCATTTTTGACCCAATGCTCATTTAGGAGCAGGTTATTTAATTTCCATGTATTTGCATGGTTTTGAAGTTTCCTTTTGGAGTTGATTTCCAGTTTAATTCCACTGTGGTTTGAGAGAGTGCTTCACATAATTTTAATTTTCTTAAACTTATTGAGGCTCATTTTATGGCCCATCATATGGTCTATCTTGGAGAAAGTTCCATGCATTGAATAGAACGTGTATTCTGTGGTTGTTGGATGAAATGTTCTGTATATATCTGTTAAGTCCATTTGTTCCAAGGTATAGTTTAAATCCGTTGTTTCTTTGTTGACTTTCTGTCTTGATGACCTGTCTAGTGTTGTCAGTAGAGTATCGATGTCCCCTGATATTGTTGCTGTCTAGCTCACTTCTTAGATCTGTTAGTAATTGTTTTATAAATTTGGGAGCTTCAGTGTTTGGTGCATATATGTTTAGGATTGTGATATTTTCCTGTGGGGCAAGGCCTTTTATAATGTCCCTCTTTGTCTCTTTTAACTGCTGTTAAAGTTTGTTTTGTCTGATATAAGAATAGCTACACCTGCTCACTTTTGGTGTCCATTTGCATGAAATGTCTTTTTCCACCCCTTTACTTTAAGTTTCTGTGATTCCTTATGTGTTAGGTGAGTCTCCTGAAAGCAGCAGATAGTTGGTGAATTCTTATTCAGTTTGCAGTTCTGTATCTTTTAAGTGGAGCATTTAGGTCATTTACATTCAATGTTAGTATTGAAATGTGAGGTACCATTGCATTCATCGTGCTCTTTGTTGCCTGTGTAGTTTTTTTGTTTGTTTGTTTGTTTTTGCTTTTTAACTTGTATTTTTGTTTTGCAGGTCCTGTGTGATTTTTGCTTTAAAGAGGTTCTGTTTTGATGTGTTTCCAGGATTTGTTTCAAGATTTAGAGCTCCTTTTAGCAGTTCTTATAGTGGTGGCTTGGTAATGGCGAATTCTCTCAGCATTTGTTTGTCTCAAAAAGACTATCTTTTCTTTATATATGATGCTTAGTTTTGCTGGATACAAAATTCTTGGCTGATAATTGTTTTGTTTGAGGAGACTGAGGATATGGCCCTAGTCCCTTTTAGCTTGCAGGGTTTCTGCTGAGAAATCTGCTGTTAATCTGATAGATTTTCTTTTATAGGTTACCTGGTGCTTCTGTCTCACAGCTCTTAAAATTATTTCCTTTGTCTCAGCTTTGGGTAACCTGTTGACAGTGTACCTAGGTGAAGATCTTTTTATGATGAATTTTCCAGGTGTTCTTTGTGCTTCTTGGATTTGGATGTCTAGGTCTCTAGCATGGCCGGGGAGGTTTTCCTTTATTGTTCCCCCAAATATGTTTTCCAAGCTTTTAGAATTCTCTTCTTCCTCAGGAACATTAATTATTCTTAGGTTTGGTCATGTAACATAATCCCATACTTCTTAGAGGCTTTGTTCACATTTTCTTATTCTTTTTTCTTTGTCTTTGTTGGATTGGGTTAATTCGAAGACCTTGTCTTCGAGCTCTGAATTTCTTTCTTCTGCTTGTTCAATTCTATTGCTGAGAATTTCCAGAGCATTTCACATTTCTAAAAGTGGGTCTGAAGTTTCCTGAAATTTTTATTGTTTTTTTTTTAAGCTATCTATTTCCTTGAATATTTCTTCCTTCACTTCTTGTATCATTTGTTTTTTGGATCTCCTTGCATTGGGCCTCACCTTTCTCTGGTCCCTCCCTGTTTAGCTTAATAACTAACTTCCCAAATTCTTTTTCAGGTAACTCAGGGATTTTGTCTTGGTTTGGACCCATTGCTGGTGAACTAGTGTGATTTTTTGGGGGGTGTTGAAGAGCCTTGTTTTGTTATAGTACCAGAGTTGATTTTCTGGTTCCTTCTCCTTTGGGTAGGCTCTGTCAGAGGGAAGGTCTAGGGCTGAAGGCTGTTGTTCAGATTCTTTTGTCCCACTGGGTGTTCCCTTGATGTAGTACTCTCCCCCTTTTCCTATGAATGTGGCTTCCTGTGAGCTGAACTGCAGTGATTGTTGTCTCTTTTCTGGGTCTAGCCACCCAGCGAGTCTGCCCAGCTCTGGGCTGGTCCTGGGGGTTGCCTGCACAGAGTTCTGTGATATGAACTGTCTATGGGTCTCTCAGCCGTGGATACCAGTGCCTGTTGCAGTGGAGGTAGCGGAGGGTGCAATGGACTCCATGAGGATCCTTAGCTTTGGTGGTTTAATGCTCTATTTTTTTACTGGTTGGCCGCCTGCCAGGAGGCGGCACTTTCAGCTGTGCTAGTATGGGGAGGAACCAGCAGTGGGTGGGGCCCTAGAACTCTCAAGATTATATGCCCTTTGTCTTCCATTACCAAGGTGGATAGGAAAGGACCATCAGGTGGGGGTAGGGCCAGGCACATGTGTCTGAGCTCAGACTCTCCTTGGGTGGGTCTTGCTGTGGCTGCTGTGGGGGATGGAGGTGAGATTCCCAGGTCACTGGAGTTGTGTACCTATGGCTGCCTCTGCTGAGTCATGCAGGTTTTCAGTTAAGTGGGGGAAAGCTGGCAGTCACTGGCCTCACCCAGTTCCCATGCAAACTGAAGGGCCGGTCCCACTCCCACCCTGTCCCCTCCTACAGCCTGGAGTCTGTTTCCAGGTGGAGAGTGAGAGGGTCTTGAAAACTTGCCCGAGGCCATCTGCCTCCCAGCTGAGAAAGAAAGGGCTTTAATTCTTCCTGGCCTGTGAAGTCTGCATGCCGGATTAGGATTCGCAACCTCTCCTGAGTTCTGGCCAGGGGGCTTCTCGCCCCGTTCAAATTGTTACAGAGTTTGCCTAGAGAATTCCTTCTCCTTGTTGAATTTTACCCCCTGCATCTCTGGGCACCCTCATGATGGATCCCCGTGGTGCCAGGCAGGAATGGACTGCTTGGGGACCCAGTGAGCTCCCAGGGCTTTTCTGCTGCTTCCTCTGTATTTCGCTCGGCTCTCTAACTTGACTCAGCTCCAGGTAAAGTTGGAAACTTCTCCTGCAAACAGACCTTCAGCTTCTCCACTGGGGGTGTGTGTTTGGGGGAGGAGGGTCTACCTTTCCCACTTCCGCAGTTGGGGCACTCACAGTATTTGTGGGTCTCCTGGGTCCTGCAGGAGCAGTCCGCTTCCTTCAGAGGGTCTGTGGTCCTCTCAGTATTTCTGATTTGTTCTTGCAGCCAATCTGAAGCTAAAATTCACAATGCGAGCCTCCACATGCCGGAGCTGCAATCTAGTCCTTCCTCCCCTCTGCCATGATCCCAGGAGCCAGTTTTTTTTTTTTTTTTTTTTTTTTTTAATATATCTATGTATGGGGGTTTGAAGTAAAGAGTACAGGATGGACAGTTTAATGTGGCCCTGAATTCCAGTAGATTTGCTTTTAGTTGCTTTTTACCAGTCATCCCTATAACCCACATCAATGGAGTTAAGAATACATAAGCAAGCCCTGTTTTACAGTCCTTCATTTATGTTATGTGAGCAACTCAGAAACAATTTCCATGCAGACATCATTAGACACTAGGATTAGGTTTCAGACTGCCCCACCAAAGCAGATATAAGCCCTAATGAGTGCACAGTGACATGGTTTTGAGTACCAGGACCGGAGCACTATATGATGTAGAAGGGAGGAGATGAGTTTTCTCTCCTAGGAAGGGGGCCACACACTTGCACCACACACCCATCCATGCAAACACACACCCTAGATGGGGCAGTGCTCACTAATGTGGACTGCTTAGCTAATTTGATGTAAGTAGACAAACCACAAAAGAGCATATTATATTTTTTTGTGTAACAGACAATAACAGTCCTCCACAAACCCTGTTCAGGCCATTCTACTGTGACCTTCTTCAGATACCACCAAATAGATTGAGTGTGGAACTATTTCAAATTTCCCTTGTTAAACTGACTTCAGTAGGAAACTCACAGAAACTTTGATTGTGAACATCAGGTAGAGAAAGCCACGTTTTACTCCAGATTGCCTGGGGTTTGTTTTTCCCAAGTGTGCATTTGTATTTGCTGTGGAGTGAGAACTTTCTGCATGGCAGAAGGAAAGCCTGCACCTGTTCAGAGATGGTGCCTACAGCCATCTCCTGAGGCTTGGCCCTGAGCCGGCTAACATCACTGCTGGGCTTGTTGGAGGGTGTGGGTGTTCTTCCAAAGACCTCCTTTGCTTCCTCAGCTCAATTCTACCTTGTTCTTTCTTGTATGGAGAACTTGGAAACTCAGAGAGCTGGGTGAATTTAGAAAATGGGCTGGAGAAAGGATAGGTGTGAGAATTCATTTTAATAAGTCAAATTTAAAACTTTTTTGACTTGCATTGCCTGGGGATCTCATTATTTTATAATTTTTTTATATTGATGAAGTGTAGGATTAGTTATAATTGATAGTTCTGGGCAAAGCGTTTAAAAAATCCTCCCAGGATAGTTTTCAGGGACTGGATACGGATGTTTGTGAAGCATAAACACATTTTCACTACCTTCCAAAGAATGGTCTAGATGCTATATAAACCATCATATTTATTATATCTTTTAAAAAGTTAAGTAAAGCTTTTTTTTTAACCTCATGAAGTAAATAGTCACTCTGGCAACATACTACAGCAATAGACACTTCGCCCTCTGAGAGTTTTGCTGTAAATATGCTGAAGATTTATATAGCTTGGCAAAAACCACTCTGTTTTCTTCTAGCAGCAATAAACACTTTTCTAAAATCCTTTGGAAATTCTACAACATGTCAGGTGCTCAGATGGGGTATAGAAAAACAACAGCTTAGTCAGACATTGAATCACCATGTCCTGGAGTCCCTAAGAAAGCCAATATGGTGAGAAGGTACCTCCCAAGCAGCCCTCTCCACAACATTTTGAGCAGGAAAACCCTTGTTTTTTCCTTTAAGTGGAATGTTCATTTAGTAAACTTTCACTGGACATCTCCCACGTGTTTACTGTGTAGCAGGCACTGATGCCACCATATGTCAGTGATATTGCCAAGAAATACCATTCTGCAGGCACAAAGGTGAGGTGCTTGTGTAGCATTAGGTGCGTGTATGAGGGAAGGAAGGGAGTACACTGGGAAAGTTTCCTGGAAGAGGCGACATTTGGACTGATTTCTTGAAGACAGAACTGGAGTTAACTGGAAAAGAAGGGAAAAGGACACTTCAATCAGAGAGAACAGCTTCGATGAGGTTTGGAAGGGAGAGTGTGTGGTGCAGCTGGGGATGGTAAATAATTTGATGGAGTAAGGCAGAGGTATGAGGTATATTGGTGGATGCTGAGGCCAAACAGACAGGATAGAGTTTAGACTCCATCCTGAAGATGCTGGGAAGCTATTGAAGATTTACATAGAGTATTGGCATATTCTGACCTATGTTTTTATTTCTTTTGTTTATTTCTTTTTATTTTTTAGAGATGGGCTCACTCTGTTGCCCAGTGGAGTGCAGTGGCACAATCATAGTTCACTACAGCCTTCAACTCCTGGGCTCAGGCGATCCTCCCACCTCAGCCTCTTGAATAGCTGGGACTATAGGCTGGTACCACCACATCTGACTCATTTTTTATTTTTATTTTTTTGTAGAGGTGGGATCTTGCTGTGTTGCCCAGACTGGTCTTGAACTCCTGGACTCAAGCAATGATTCTTCTGCTTCAGCCCCCCTAAAGTGCTGGGATTACAGTTGTGAGCCACTGTGCCTGGCCTGTGACTTATAGTTTAGAAAAGTCCCTCTAGCCATCCACGGAGGGGCAAAGGGCATTACAAGTAGAAGCAAAATGATGTCACTGGCTTATGTACTGGTGTGACTTTGGGGGCATTGGAGACGGGCCTCTGTCACCCAGATAGTTAATTGGTTTTGTTCCTTGATGGCTGAAATTCCTTAGACTCTTTTTTTTTTTTGGAATTGAGAATTCTGGGAAGATTGAGTGGAATTTTTGGCCACATGTCTGTTTCATCTTCCTGAGGTCCCCCTAATTCCCTTTGGGTAATTATACTGCACTGTTGAATATTGACTTTGTAAGTAACTGTGAAGATCTCCCAAGAGGTTCCTTCTGCCAGCTTCTTCTCCCTGCCCCAGTATAGCCACTGGGTGGACAGGTGGTATGGGCTCAGCCAGTCTGATACTGTCAGTTGAGTGACTTGAGAATGGAAGAGACCTCTAGAGTGAGTTCTTTCCTATGCTGGCTCTCTGAAGAGATCTCTTCCTCTATAAATTATTCCTATAGTTTCTTTTTTTCATTTTTTCAACTTTTATTTCAGGTTCAGGGAGTATGTGTGCAGGTTTGTTTACCTGGGTATATTGCTTGATGCTGAGGTTTGGGGTATGATGGGACCAGTTACCCAGGTAGTGAGCATAATACCAAATAGGTAGTTTTTCAACCCTTGCCCCCCTTGCTACCTCCCCCATCAGTAGTCCACATTGTTTATTGTTCCCATCTTTATGTCCATCTTTACCCAATATTTAGCTCCCACTCACATAAGTGAGAACATGTGGTATTTGATTTTCTATTTCTGTGTTAATTCTCTTAGGATAATGGCCTTTAGCTGCATTCATGTTGCTGCAAAGGACATGATTTTGTTCTTTTTTACAGTTGTGTAATATTCCATGGTGTATATGTAGCACATTTCCTTTATCCAATCCACTGTTGATGGGCAACTAGGTTGATTCCATGTCTTTGCTATTGTGATTAGACCATGAAGAACATACAAATGCATGCGTCTTTTTGGTAGAATGTTTATTTTCTTTGGATATACCGGTAATGAGACTGCTGAGTTGAATGGTAGTTCTGTTTTAAGTTCTTTGAGAAATCTCCAATCTGCTTTCCACAATGGCTGAACTAACTTAAATTCCCAGCAACAGTGTGTACTCAGCAACCTTGCCAGCATTTCTCTGATCATCGGTGATGATGAGCATTTTTTCATATGTTTGTTGGCCACTTGTATGTCCTCTTTTGAGAAGTGTCTGTTAATGGGGTTATTTGTTCTTTGTTGTCAATTTAAATTTCTTATAGATTCTGGATGTTAGTCTTCTGTCAGATGCATAATTTGCAATTTTTTTCTCCCATTCTATAGGCTGTCTGTTTACTCTTTGATTGTTTCTTTTACTGTGCAGAATCTCCTTAGTTTAATTAGGTCCCACTAGTCAATTATTTTTGTTAAAATTACTTCTGAGGACTTAGCCACAAATTCTTTGCCAAGGCTGATGTTGAGAAAGGTATTTCCTTTAATAAATGACTTCTAGAAAGAAAACCCAGGTTTTCTTCTAGGATTTTTATGGTTTGAGGTCTTACATTTAAGACTTTAATCCATCTTGAGTTAATTTTTGTACATGGTTATAAGTAGGGGTTCAAATTTGTTCTTCTGCATATGGTTAGCCAGTTATCTCAGCACCATTTATTGATTAGGGAGTCCTTTCCCTATGGCTTATTTTTGTTGACTTTGTTGAAGATCAGATGGTTGTGGGTATGTGGCTTCAATTCTGGGTTCTCTGTTCTCTTCCATTGGTCTGTGTGTCTGTTTTTATACCAGTACCATGCTGTTTTAGTTACTGTAGCCTTGTAGTATAGCTTAAAGTCAGTAATGTGATGCCTCTAGGTTTTTTTTTTTTTTTTTGCTTAAGATTGCTTTGGCTATTCAGGCTCTTTTTTTGGTTCCATATGAATTTCAAAGTAGTTTTGTCTAATTCTTTAAAAATGACATTAATAGTTTGATAGGAATAGCATTGAATCTATCTGTAGATTGCTTTGAGTTGTATGACCATTTTAATGATATTGATTATTCCTGTAATTTCAACTTTCAGGTTCCTCAGAAGGGCCCTGACTCCTGCCTGTTTCCAGGTGTGGCTTTTCAGGCTTCTCTTTGGTTCTAGGAGCTTCACATAGCCATCTGAAAAAATTACATTTGTTTGAGTTAGCTGCAACCAGTTGCTGCTGCTTGTGTCCAAAGAACCCTAATAGATGTAGGAAACATCCAGAGGTCTTACTTCACACCAGAGTTTAAAGACTAATCTCCTAGCCTTTCCTACTGGTTTGAAAGGGGCGCAAGGAGAGAACACGAGGACATTATTTTCAGAGAGGGAGCAAGGATGTTCTCAAAGGGGCAGAGGAAACTAAATCCCTGCAGACCAACTTTGCTGGCATCCCAGTATTGCTGCAGGCTGGTCTTGCTCCAAGGTCTACCTAGAGTGGGTCAAATTAGCATCAAATAGGTGGCAGCATTTCCTGTGTACTTTCAATTCCAGTTCTTTCTCAGATGGCACTCAGGGCTCTGGCAATACTTAGTGAAAAAATAACAATAGACTGGGTGCGGTGGCTGAGGCCTGTAATCCCAGCACTTTGGGAGTCTGAGGCCGGTGGATCACAAGGTCAAGAGATCGAGACCATCCCGGCCAACATGGTGAAACCCCGTCACCACTAAAAATACAAGAATTAGCTGGGTGTGATGGAGCACACCTGTATTCCCAGCTGCTCAGGAGGCTGAGGCAGGAGCATCGCTTGAACCCGGGAGGTGGAGGTTTCAGTGAGCCGAGATCCCACCACTGCACTCCAGCCTGGCGACAGAGTGAGACTCTGTCTCAAAAATACAAAAGACAAAACAAAACAAAACAAAAAAACCACAATAGTAAATATTGATATAGCACTTACATAATGTGCGAGACACTGTTATAAATGTGATCCACATATTAACCCATTTATTTCTTATAATCAAATTTTGATGTAGGTACTATTATCTTATTATATTATTATTATATTACATCTATCTTTTGCTGTCAGTCATCTATCTATCTATCATCTATTTATCAACAGATGAAGAAACCTCAATGAACAATTCTAATAATTTAGCTACATTATACAAACAGAAAGTGGTAGTTACAGAATCTGTGCTTTCACTCCTGGATTCAAATCTTAGCTCCACTTCTTTTTGGCTGGGCAAGTTATTTAACCCCTGAGGCCTCAGTATCCTCGTTTGCAGAGTGGGACTAATAATAGTATCTATTTATCTAGCATTAGGTAGCATAAAGTAAAATGCTTCAAATAGTGCCTGGCACAAAGTAAGCACTATATAAAGGTTTTCCAGAAAAGTTATTTTGTAATGGACATTACAAAGAAGACTGAACATACATACTTTATAGAGATAAGCCCATAACAAACTGTGACTCTTCTATTTATCCCAGTGCTTTGTAGATGTTTTGTAGCTCTTCACAGAAAGGGCATGAGGTGATATAAGTAATTGGTATTGTTTAAACACTCATTTAGGGAGATAAAGCCAAAATACAGTTGAATTTAAGGGCATGAGCCTGCTGTGTCAGGACAGACAACAACCACCCCCTACAGAAGCAAAGAGTACGATGTGCCTCCCCAGTATGGGGCTCATTGGAGAGCGGGCGTGGTCTCTGTGGCTGCCACCTCTGCTTTCCATTTAACTATTTGAAACCTCAATTTCCTCATTCATAAGTGGGGAATCATCTTAATGCCTGGTTCTCTGCATTGATCTTGGGATTAAAAAAGATTGTTTGCTTATTCATTACTTTTGGCTGGGCATTAAGGATACAAAAATTAAGAAAAAATAGGCCTACCTTTGCAGAGCTCACGGTGCAGTGTGGAGACAATGAGTAAACTGTTCTACTGCATTTCAGCAAGTTAAGTACTCTGATGGAGGCAGGTACTGGTAGGTGGGATGCAGTGGAAGGGAGCCTGGTTTTGAGGTAGGGAGAGGTCTGGGGTCTGGGGTTGGTTCTGGAGAATATGATAGAGCTGAGTCTTGAAGGACATTCTGAGCAGACCAAACAAGTGCAGAGACCTGGAGTTGTGAGAAGTTGGAGCATTTTCGGAGATTTTCATTAATTTTATTTTTGGTGGGGGATGGAGTCTCGCTGTGTCGCCCAGGCTGGAGTGCAGTGACGTGATTTTGGCTCACTGCAACCTCTGCCTCCCAGGTTCAAGCAATTTTCCTGCCTTAGCCTCCTGAATAGCTGGGACTACAGGCGTGTGCCACCATACCCGGCTAATTTTTGTATTTTTAGTAGAGACAGGGTTTCACCATGTTGGCCAGGCTGGTTTCGAACTCCTGACTTCAGGTGATCTGCCTGTCTCGGCCTCCTAAAGTGCTGGGATTACAGGCATGAACCACCGCGTCTGGCTGTTTTTCACTAATTCTTTATTGTTCTAGAGTTTCAGTTGGTTTGTGACAGGCAAGGCTAGTGGATAAGGAATAATAATAATAACAATTATAATAGCTAACATTTAATTGAACATTTTTATATCCCAAGCACAGAGTGTTTTATTTGTATTATCTCATTTTTAATCCTCATAACTTCTCTGTGGTATCTGATATTTAGTATCCATGCTTTATAAATAGGGAAACTGAAGCTCAAAGAACCTAAATGACTGACCCAAGGTCACACAGCTAGTGAGTGCCGAATCCAGGATACCAACTCAAGCATTCTGGATCCAGAGTTTACCCTAAAGGCCGAAAGAGCCATGTGGGGACTTTAAGTATGGTGAGTAGGGTATAATTTAATCCAATGTGCATGTTAAGGGTAACTTCAGCTTAGTGTGAAGGAAGAAATTGAGGGTAGGGAATGGAAATAGGCCTAAGGCATGGGGGACAGTTAGGTGTCTGTTGTGGTGAACCAGTGGAAAAATACCGAGTATCTGGATTAAGGCAGATGCAGGAGGGATAGAAAAAAAAATCGAGTTGAGAGGCAATGGGGATGTGTATTTGCTTGCCCTCAGTGCTGGCTGGCTGCCAACAGGCCTCCGTGGCGAGGGAAAAGGAGGAGCCTAGGATGATCTCCAGGTGTCTGGCCTGAGTAAGCGGGTATGAAGGGAATAGAGGATGAAGGGAAAATGTGGATGTGCTTATTGTAAGCCCCCAGTGGGACATTCAGAAGGACACATCTGGTAGGCAGCTCTGTGAGTCTGGAATGCAAGAGGGAGACTGGGCTGGAGATGCACATCTGGGCTCCACTGTCAGATGACATTGGCTGATGAGAAGAGCAGAGGCACAAGGAGGAGGCCATGGTGGTGGGTGAGGCTGGGTGGGGAGATGACACAAAGCTGGAGGCCTGCAGATTGTGTCCAGGCTGCAGATGTCTTCAGCTTGGTTGATGATATTAAAACAGGAAGAACCATAGTTGCCAACATTTAAAAAATTGGGGAAGTTTTTTATAAAAATAAAATTTGTTGGTGTTCTTGACAAACTAGGTGATCTGGCCACGTGATACCCACAGATAAGGGACAACAGTTGGCCAGTGCCCTCCTTCAGCAAGACCGGTGTTCCCTAGTAGTTACAGTGGCCAGGTGTCCTCCTCCTCTCATTTTGGGTCCCTGCCTTGCTCCTGCAGACATTTTATTAATATTTTGTGACCCCAGATTTAAGATTTGGGAAGAGGACACAGAGTTTCACAGAAAACTAAACATGAGTAGTCAGACAAGTGGGAGAGAACACAGCAAATGGTGTTAGTGAATTGCAGAAGCAGAGGAGGTCAGTAGGACAAATGCTATGGACAGATGCAGATATGCAGATTGGGAAGTGTCCTTTCGGTTTGGTCACCTGGAGATGCCCTTAGCAAAAACGCTTAAAAATGGGGTATTAGGTCAAGAATTGTAGAATAAAAGGAAGGGTGAATGTAGAAAATAATTTCAAGAAGCTGTGTTACAGAGAGGAATTTGAGGTTGGGAGACTGTGTGTGTGTGTGTGTGTGTGTGTGTGTGTGTGTGTGTGTTTTAATGTGAGTGACTTGAGTATGTCTATATAAAGATGTATTTGACATAAAATAGTACTTTATTTGTCCTTGACTTACATTTGATAAGAATTACAAAAGGTCTAGTCTTAGCTTTGATTGACAGATTATTCTAAAACTGGTGGTTTTTATGAAAACAAAGCCCTCCAGCTTATAGGATGGGATAAAGTGCTTTTTATACATCTATGCGAAGACAGCCCTGCCCCTTTAGATCTTTACTAGTGTTAAATGCATTTTTTACTAGTTTAATATGTAAGCAGCCATGCCTTAAGATGGGTAATTTTACATTTTAACAACTGTAGGTTAAGTCAAGCAGTGTTAATGTG
Source organism: Homo sapiens (assembly GCF_000001405.40). NCBI lineage: Eukaryota > Metazoa > Chordata > Mammalia > Primates > Hominidae > Homo > Homo sapiens. The sequence continues at coordinate 17,902,720 of NC_000002.12, forward strand.
GTGATTTGCCACGTACACTTACTCATGAGTGTGTGCATTGTCCATTTCCTTTTAGTATTAGCCAGGTGGAATCTGTATGATGATCTTATCAGCCAGCATCACTTCTATTACAATCTGGGTTAGTGTGCTTTTATTGATTTTATGCCACATCCCCAATTTTTCCATGTACTTTTTGGTATTTGTTTTATGATATAATTTGATCCAGCCAATAACTTGTAGGTGTATGTATATTAGAACTTATCTATCTTGTCTTTAATAAAAACTCTCCTAATTAAGGAAAAACATGTACCTGCCATCTGCAGTGGTTGATAAATAAGCTACTTGTCTTCTGTGGTGACCACCATTTCAAAAGCACGTTTGTTGTGATTTTTCTTTTTTCCCAGTTAATGCAGTGGGCAAGAGAGACTTTAAAATTTCATACAGAATGGAAGCAGCCAGTAGCTAAGCTATTGGCAAATGTCAACCAACTCATTAATTCATTAATTCAGCAAATAAATTGTTAAGAATTTACCATGTGTCACATGAAGTTCTAGGGACTGGAATGCAGTGATATGTAAGACAGACACAAATCCCTGCACTCAGGGAGCTCATATTGGAGTGGAGAAGCAAACAGTAAATAAGACAATGAAATTAAAAAGTATATGTCTAAGTATATTTTTGAGAGTGATAAATGCTGTGGATTAAAAATAAAGCAAGGAAGGGGGTTGAAGTTTTAGGGGGTTATTGACATTTTATTTTATTTTATTTTTTATTATACTTTAAGTTCTAGGGTACATGTGCACAGTGTGCAGGTTTGTTACATATGTATACATGTGCCATGTTGGTGTGCTGCACCTATTAACTTGTCATTTAACATTAGGTATATCTCCTAATGCTTTCCTTCCCCCTTCCCCCCACCCCACAACAGGCCCCAGTGTGTGATGTTCCCCTTCCTATGTCCAAGTGTTCTCATTGTTCAGTTCCCACCTATGAGTGAGAACATGCGGTGTTTGGTTTTTTGTCCTTGTGACACTTTGCTGAGAATGATGGTTTCCAGCTTCATCCATGTCCCTACAAAGGACATGAACTCATCCTTTTTTATGGCTGCATAGTATTCCATGGTGTATATGTGCCACATTTTCTTAATCCAGTCTATCATTGATGGACATTTGGGTTGGTTCCAAGTCTTTACTATTGTGAATAGTGCTGCAATAAACATACGCGTGCATGTGCCTTTATAGCAGCATGATTTATAATCCTTTGGGTATATACCCAGTAATGGGATGGCTGGGTCAAATGGTATTTCTAGTTCTAGATCCCTGAGGAGTCGCCACACTGACTTCCACAATGGTTGAACTAGTTTACAGTCCCACCAACAGTGTAAAAGTGTTCCTATTTCTCCACATCCTCTCCAGCACCTGTGGTTTCCTGAACTTTTTAATGATTGCCATTGTAACTGGTGTGAGATGGTATCTCATTGTGGTTTTGATTTGTATTTCTCTGATAGCCAGGGATGATGAGCATTTTTTCATGTGTCTTTTGGCTGCATAAATGTCTTCTTTTGAGAAGTGTCTGTTCATATCCTTCGCCCACTTGTTGATGGGGTTGTTTGTTTTTTTCTTGTAAATTTGTTGGAGTTCTTTGTATATTCTGGATATTAGCCCTTTGTCAGATGAGTAGATTGCAAAAATGTTCTCCCATTCTGTAGGTTGCCTGTTCACTCTGATGGTAGTTTCTTTTGCTGTGCAGAAGCTCTTTAGTTTAATTAGATCCCATTTGTCAATTTTGGCTTTTGTTGCCATTGCTTTTGGTGTTTTAGACATGAAGTCCTTGCCCATGCCTATGTCCTGAATGGTATTGCCTAGGTTTTCCTCTAGGGTTTTTATGGTTTTAGGTCTAACATTTAAGTCTTTAATCCATCTTGAATTAATTTTTGTATAAGATGTAAGGAAGGGATCCAGTTCCAGCTTTCTACATATGGCTAGCCAGTTTTCCCAGCACCATTTATTAAATAGGGAATCCTTTCCGCATTTCTTCTTTTTGTCAGGTTTGTCAAAGATCAGATGGTCGTAGATGTGTGGTATTATTTCTGAGGGCTCTGTTCTGTTCCATTGGTCTATATCTCTGTTTTGGTACCAGTACCATGCTGTTTTGGTTACTGTAGCCTTGTAGTATAGTTTGAAGTCAGGTAGCGTGATGCCTCCAGCTTTGTTCTTTGGGCTTAGGATTGTCTTGGTAATGCGGGCTCTTTTTTGGTTCCATATGAACTTTAAAGTAGTTTTTTCCAATTCTGTGAAGAAAGTCATTGGTAGCTTGATGGGGATGGCATTGAATCTATAAATTACCTTGGGCAGTGTGGCCATTTTCACAATAATGATTCTTCCTATCCATGAGCATGGAATGTTCTTCCATTTGTTTGTATCCTCTTTTATTTCATTGAGCAGTAGTTTGTAGTTCTCCTTGAAGAGGTCCTTCACATCCCTTGTAAGTTGGATTCCTAGGTATTTTATTCTCTTTGAAGCAAGTGCGAATGGGACTTCACTCATGATTTGGCTCTCTGTTTGTCTGTTATTGGTGTATAAGAATGCTTGCGATTTTTGCACATTGATTTTGTATCCTGAGACTTTGCTGAAGTTGCTTATCAGCTTAAGGAGATTTTGGGCTGAGATGATGGGGTTTTCTAAATATACAATCATGTCATCTGCAAACAGGGACAATTTGACTTCCTCTTTTCCTAATTGAATACCCTTTATTTCTTTCTCCTGCCTGATTGCCCTGGCCAGAATTTCCAACACTATGTTGAATAGGAGTGGTGAGAGAGGGCATCCCTGTCTTGTGCCAGTTTTCAAAGGGAATGCTTCCAGTTTTTGCCCATTCAGTATGATATTGGCTGTGGGTTTGTCATAAATAGCTCTTATTATTTTGAGATACATCTCATCAATGCCTAATTTATTGAGAGTTTTTAGCATGAAGGGCTGTTGAATTTTGTCAAAGGCCTTTTCTGCATCTATTGAGATAATCATGTGGCTTTTGTCTTTGGTTCTGTTTATATGCTGGATTACGTTTATTGATTTGCATATGTTGAACCAGTCTTGCATCCCAGGGATGAAGCCCACTTGATCATGGTGGGTAAGCTTTTTGATGTGCTGCTGGATTTGGTTTGCCCGTATTTTATTGAGGATTTTTGCATCGATGTTCATCAAGGATATTGGTCTAAAATTCTCTTTTTTTGTTGTGTCTCTGCCAGGCTTTGGTATCATGATGATGCTGGCCTGATAAGATGAGTTAGGGAGGATTCCCTCTTTTTCTATTGATTGGAATAGTTTCAGAAGGAATGGTACCAGCTCCTCCTTGTACCTCTGATGAATTCGGCTGTGAATCCGTCTGGTCCTGGACTTTTTTTGGTTGGTAGGCTATTAATTATTGCCTCAATTTCAGAGCCTGTTATTGGTCTATTCAGGGATTCAACTTCTTCGTGGTTTAATCTTGGGAGGGTGTATGTGTCCAGGAATTTATCCATTTCTTCTAGATTTTCTAGTTTATTTGCATAGAGATGTTTATAGTATTCTCTGATACTAGTTTGTATTTCTGTGGGATCGGTGGTGATATCCCCTTTGTCACTTTTTATTGTGTCTATTTGATTCTTCTCTCTTTTCTTCTTTATTAGTCTTGCTAGCGGTCTATCTATTTTGTTGATCTTTTCAAAAAACCAGCTCCTGGATTCATTGATTTTTTGAAGGGTTTTTTGTGTCTCTATCTCCTTCAGTTCTTCTGTGATCTTAGTTATTTCTTGCCTTCTGCTAGCTTTTGAATGTGTTTGCTCTTGCTTCTCTAGTTCTTTTAATTGTGATGTTAGGTTGTCAGTTTTAGATGTTTCCTGCTTTCTCTTGTGGGCATTTAGTGCTGTAAATTTCCCTCTACACACTGCTTTAAATGTCCCAGAGATTCTGGTATGTTGTGTCGTTGTTCTCATTGGTTTCAAAGAACATCTTTATTTCTGCCTTCATTTCATTATGTACCCAGTAGTCATTCAGGAGCAGGTTGTTCAGTTTCCATGTAGTTGAGTGGTTTTGAGTGAGTTTCTTAATCCTGAGTTCTAGTTTGATTGCACTGTGGTCTGAGAGACTGTTTGTTATAATTTCTGTTCTCTTACATTTGCTGAGGAGTCCTTTACTTCCAACTATGTGGTCAATTTTGGAATAAGTGTGATGTGGTGCTGCGAAGAATGTATGTTCTGTTGATATGTGGTGTAGAGTGCTGTAGATGTCTATTGGGTCTGCTTGGTGCAGAGCTGAGTTCAATTCCTGGATATCCTTGTTAACTTTCTGTCTCGTTGATCTGTCTAATGTTGACAGTGGGGTGTTAAAGTCTCCCATTATTAGTGTGTGGGAGTCTAAGTCTCTTTGTAGATCTCTAAGGACTTGCTTTATGAATCTGGGTGCTCCTATATTGGGTGCATATATATTTAAGATAGTTAGCTCTTCTTGTTGAATTGATCCTTTTACCATTATGTAATGGCCTTCTTTGTCTCTTTTGATCTTTGTTGGTTTAAAGTCTGTTTTATCAGAGACTAGGATTGCAACCACTGGTTTCTTTTGCTTTCCATTTGCTTGGTAGATCTTCCTCCATCCCTTTATTTTGAGCCTATGTGTGTCTCTGCACGTGAGATGGGTCTCCTGAATACAGCGCACTGATGGGTCTTGACTCTTTGTCCAATTTGCCAGTCTGTGTCTTTTAATTGGAACATTTAGCCCATTTACATTTAAGGTTAATATTGTTATGTGTGAATTTGATCCACTCCTTATGATGTTAGCTGGTTATTTTGCTCGTTAGTTGATGCAGTTTATTCCTAGCATCGATGATCTTTACAATTTGTCATGTTTTTGCAGTGGCTGGTACTGGTTGTTCCTTTCCATGTTTAGTGCTTCCTTCAGGAGCTCTTGTAAGGCAGGCCTGGTGGTGACAAAATCTCTCAGCATTTGCTTGTCTGTAAAGGATTTTATTTCTCCTTCGCTTAAGAAGCTTAGTTTGGCTGGATATGAAATTCTGGGTTGAAAATTCTTTTCCTTAAGAATGTTGAATATTGGCCCCCACTCTCTTCTGGGTTGTAGAGTTTCTGCTAAGAGATCCGCTGTTAGTCTGATGGGTTTCCCTTTGTGGGCAACCCGACCTTTCTCTCTGGCTGCCCTTAACATTTTTTCCTTCATTTCAACTTTGGTGGATCTGACAATTGTGTGTCTTGGAGTTGCTCTTCTCGAGGAGTATCTTTGTGGCATTCTCTGTATTTCCTGAATTTGAATGTTGGCCTACCTTTCTGGGTTGGGGATGTTCTCCTGGATAATATCCTGCAGAGTGTTTTCGAACTTGGTTCCATTCTCCCCGTCACTTTTAGGTACACCAATCAGACGTAGATTTGGTCTTTTCACATAGTCCCATATTTCTTGGAGGCTTTGTTCATTTCTCTTTACTCTTTTTTCTCTAAACTTCTCTTCTCACTTCATTTCATTCATTTAATCTTCAATCACTGATACCCTTTCTTCCAGTTGATTGAATCGGCTACTGAAGCTTGTGCATTCGTCATGTAGTTCTCGTGCCATGGTTTTCAGCTCCGTCAGGTCATTTAAGGACTTCTCTACCCCGATTATTCTCGTTAGCCATTCTTCTAATCTTTTTTCAAGGTTTTTAGCTTCTTTGCCATGGGTTCGAACTTCCTCCTTTAGCTCGGAGAAGTTTGATCGTCTGAAGCCTTCTTTTCTCAACTCGTCAAAGACATTCTCCATCCAGCTTTGTTCCGTTGCTGGCGTGGAGCTGCATCCCTATGGAGGGGGAGAGGTACTCTGATTTTTAGAATTTTCAGTTTTTCTGCTCTGTTTTTTCCCCATCTTTGTGGTTTTATCTACCTTTGGTCTTTGATAATGGTGACGTACAGATGGGGTTTTGGTGTGGATGTCCTTTCTGTTTGTTAGTTTTCCGTCTAGCAGTCAGGACCCTCAGCTGCAGGTCTGTTGGAGTTTGCTAGAGGTCCACTCCAGACCCTATTTGCCTGGGTATCAGCCGTGGAGGCTGCAGAACAGCGAATATTGCTGAACAGCAAATGTTGCTGCCTGATCGTTCCTCTGGAAGCTTTGTCTCAGAGGGGTACCCGGCCGTGTGAAGTGTCAGTCTGCCCCTACTGGGGGGTGCCTCCCAGATAGGCTGCTCGGGGGTCAGGGACTCACTTGAGGAGGCAGTCTGTCCATTCTCAGATCTCAAACTCTGTACTGGGAGAACCACTACTCCCTTCAAAGCTGTCAGACAGGGACATTTAAGTCTGCAGAGGTTTCTGCTGCCTTTTGTTTGGCTATGCCCGCCCCAGAGGTGGAGTCTACAGAGGCAGGCAGGCCTCCTTGAGCTGCAGTGGGCTCCACCCAGTTCGAGCTTCTGGGCTGCTTTGTTTACCTACTCAAGCCTCAGCAATGGCGGGCGCCCCTCCCCCAGCCTCGCTGCCACCTTGCAGTTCTATCTCAGACTGCTGTGCTAGCAATGAGTGAGGCTCCGTGGGCGTGGGACCCTCCAAGCCATGCATGGGATATAATCTCCTGGTGTGCTGTTTGCTAAGACCGTTGGAAAAGTGCGGTATTAGGGTGGGAGTGACCTGATTTTCCAGGTGCCATCTGTCACCCCTTACCTTAGCTAGGAAAGGGAATTCCCTGACCCTTTGTTCTTCCCAGGTGAGGCAATGCCTTGCCCTGCTTCGGCTCACACTCGGTAGGCTGCACCCACTGTCCTGCCCCCACTGTCTGACGAGCCCCAGTGAGATGAACCCGGTACCTCAGTTGGAAATGCAGAAATCACTCGTCTTCTGCGTTGCTCATGCTGGGAGCTGTAGACCGGAGCTGTTCCTATTCAGCCATCTTGGAACTGCCCCACCTCGGGTTATTGACATTTTAGATAGGCTAACTGAGGATGTTCTTGTTGAGAAGATATCATTTGAGTGAAGACTTGAGGGAAGTGAGAGGGCAAGCCATGCAGAAGAAAGAGCATTCCAGGCAGAGGGTTCAGCCACTGCAGAGGCCCTGAATTAGGATATGGCTCACTTGGCATGATAAGCATTAGCAAGGAGACCAGGATGACAGATGGGAATGATAGAGGGTGAGAGGAGTAGGAGGTAAGATCAGACAAATGAAGTTAGGGGAGGGTGGATGGTGGGCACTTTGACTCTGAGTAGGATGGAAGCCACTGGAGGGTTGAACATAGGAGGGACATGATGTGATGCACATTTTAACAGGATCTCTAGCTAAAGGATTCTTAATCCTTCCTTTTGCCATGAACCCCTTTGGGAGTCTGAGAAACCCTATGGACCCCTTTTCAGAATAGCGTGTTTAAACACAAAAGATGAAACCTACAGGATGTAAAGGAATCCAGTTATGTTGAAATGCAATTACCAAAATAGTAAAAGCAATTTATGAGTTAGCAATATATTTGCTTATTAATTCTTTAAATAAAATCTAGCAGTAGGTCTATAACTACTGTGATTCCAAAGTAATAATGAGTATAAATGATATTTTGAGATCTCTTCAATAACTCTGATAGGATATGAAGCTATTCATACTTCTATTGGTGTGAAGTCATTGGCACTGCTAATACACACTACCCTGGGCCAATGCCTGCATTTTTAATGGAAGGAATTGCTAAAATTTTAGTTAGAGATTGGTGAAAATAAATATTTTTTTCTGTCTAAATTCAAGGACCTCCTGAATTTCAACACAGACCCCCTACTCTAACTCTTAGGTGAACAGTTTAAATGGAATACAAAAGAGGAGAGGGATGAAGTAATGAAATGTTGCTGTTTCTGTTGTTGTCAGCATATCAGTTGGCACTACTGGAATTCACTGCTTGCCATTTCAGATCACTGGGATTCTTGGTGGATTGGCACACCCAGTGGAAGTGTCTACTTTTTTTTTTTTTAAATGTTCTAGGAAGAGCAGTAACTCCAAGAGGTCTTTATAGTCTCTGATTGGTTCCTTGTGGCTAAATCTTTCAGGAGGCCCGAGGTGTGGTCCTTTTGTAGCCGCAGATTCTCTGTGTGGCCACAGGCAATCAATCCATTCTCCTCTCCCATAGACATCTCTTACTTTGGTATTCCTAATTCACAAAGATGTGGATAGTACAGGCAGAATTCTTCATATTTTAAAAGAAATAATCTGTATAAATAGCTCTAGGTCATAGGCTACTTCCTATAGCCCAAGTCTACCATTTTCTGCTCTCTGTCCATACCACGAGCTTTCCTGCCACCATGCTTTTGTATGTGTTCTTTTCTCTCCTTGGAGAAGAGCCTTCTTACCCTTACCTGGCTCCTTTACTTGTTCATACCTGACTCGCTCTTCAAGGATTATCTCCAAATACTACCTATTCATGTAGCTGTCCCCGCTTCCTTATCTCGAGGGACTCTACCTCTTCTGAACTTCCTCAATACCGTCTCTGTACCTTTTCCCATGCCTGACATACTACTGGACCTTGTATTGCCGTTATTTATTTACCCATTTACCCTCCTTTTTGTTCTTCTCAGCTCCTGTAAGCTTTGAGGGCAAGATCCATGTTATCTTTTGTCCTTGGTAGTTCCCAGGATACTGCCTGTCATAAAGCAGCCATGAATGAATAGCATTAGCTCAGGATAGTGGAGGGCTTTGGCTGGGGGCTGGGGATCCTTTCTCATGTGAATCTATAAGTTCATTTGATATCTATCTCATTCCCCTTTTCCTCTGCCCAGATGCTGACTGGAGCTGCTTATGACCTTTTATTTTTCTATGTAGAAATAACTATTTTCATAAATATTTTATAATACCTATTTATTTAAAGTAAGAAATGTACACAATGTTGAGATGTAGAGAGTAGAAAGCAAAATCACTCCAAATTCCATTATCCAGAGACAATGAATTTAACATTTTGGTATATATTCTCATTTACTCTAAAAAGACATATTTTACAAAGATAGGATCATGCTATATATTGCGTCATAATTATTTCTCTTTTGTACTTAGCATATTGTGACTTTTTAATGGTTTTACATGCAGTAGAGCTGTAGTAGCTAAGAGAATGGCTTTGAAGAATTATTGTTTGGATTCGAATCATGGAGTTGTCACTTAATAGCTGTTGACTCCCTAAAATCAGTTAACTTCTCTATTTACCAGTTTCTCCATCTGCAAAACGAATGCAATAAAAACACCACTTGTCTGAGTGCTGCAAGGATTAAATGGATTTAGACATGTAAAAAGCACAGGGCCAGACTTAGTATAAGGAAGCTGTAACTTCTGTAACTTTTATTATTTCAGCATTTTTAATGGCTACAGAGTATTCATTGCATGGCTACCCCCAGTCTATTTAATCATTCCTCTATTGATGGACGTGCAGGCTGTCTTTGACATTTCACTCTTACAAATAATGATGCAGTGAACAACCTTGTACATGCATCTTTCAACGCTTGTCTGATTTATTTCTTCAGGACACATGCCAAAATGTGAAACCCTGGGATTTTGTGATACACATTGCTATGATGTCCTCCAGAAAGGTTTCTTTAAGAAGTTTTCACTGCTATCATTGTATGATACTTTCCTGCTCACTCCAAAGCTGCTTGCTTTCAGTTCCTCTTTATCGGCCTGTGTTAGTGCAGTTGTTTGATGCATTCAAATGGGACAGCCCTAGCCTCTGTCTCCAGCTAGCCATGCGGTAGGGAGATGACTACAAGGTGGATGGAGCCAGTGCAGTTCCTTTCTGTGGCCAGGAGCAGTTGCATGGACCACTCAGAGTGACCCTAGAGCCCTGTCAACACTCAGTGACTGTGTTGTACTTCCTTCTATGAGGTGCACACCCTTCCGCAGGGAAGCGCCTGGTCTGCCTGTCTCTCCTTTCCTTTCTCTAGATTTTCTTGCCAAGGCAACACAGCTGCGTCCCTGCTGCCTCCCCTCCATTCCCCAGGGGGAGGTTGTCTAGAAACATAGAGCAGGAGGAAAGGAAGGTGGTATTTAGTTACCCATGCATCAAGTCTTGGGATTCCTGCAGTTGGTATGGCATTTACTCACTCTGAATGACCAAGAAAAATATAATTTATACTAACCTTTCAAAAATAATTTAGAGACTTTGCTTTAGAAAGCACTTACTGGTTTGTCCCTGAATATATTAGACCCTGAGAAGTTTTCATTTTCTTTTAGGGACAGATTTTTAAAAATCATGTTAATTCAAGGATTTGCCATATTAACTTAAGGTACTTCTTGAAATTTGACAGTTAAATTTGGACAGAGTTAGTAGTGGAGGGATATTCTTAGTCATGCCCTGTCTGAATCAACTGGAAGATGTTTGATTCTGATTGCTTTGGATTATAGGATTTAAATATCAGTACATTTTTTTTCTAGCACACTAAATCCAATTATGGCAGTATGATTATGATATTTTAATTTTATTTAATTAAACACTGGGTGACAGTTTTCAATAGTTAAGCCAGATAGAGGTAGGGTTGGATTTCACCTTTTGTTATTATTCATATAATTTTATTGCTCTCAGATTTTATTAAAAGTAGGTCTGTCGTTGATGTATGGTAGCAAGACTACAAAACTGACATGAATTTGCATTTTTTCCAGGGACACCAATTAGTCTCCACAAGGTTGGAACTTCGGTCAGGAGTGGGCGTATTCAGCAGGCTGAATAGCCTACCTGCAGAAAGCTGCAGCAGGCTATAGATCTGAAACTAGATTAGTGCATATGCACAGTATATCATTCTGGCACTAAAATGTTAGAAAACTTAAGACAGACTCACTAACCTTTAGACTCAAATTGCATGAAGCATGGTTTGAGTTTCCACAAAAGGTTAAACTTGCTTTTATCTTTCTTCATTTTTAAAGTTTTGGTTGTATGACACTGTAAATGCCATGACTGAATTCTAAAAGAACAAGTGTTGGGAGGGTATCCCCAGCCCCTGTCAGCAGATGAAGTATTAGTACAATTTGTCATTCCCAGTCTTCTGACCTTCCAGCTCCCAAACAGGTGCCTGAGGTTCTTTTCCTGTACTTATAGAGCATTGGTTCTTAAGTGGGGATGATTTTGATCTCCAAGGGATATTGGCAGTATCTGGAGACATTTTTGGTTGTCACAGTATTGTGATGGGTGGGTGGTGTACAAGTGGCATCTAGTAGATGAAGGCTAGGGGTGCTGCTAAACACTCTACTGTGAATGGGACAGCCTCCACAAGAAAGAATTACCTGACCCCACAATGTCAATAGTGCCGAGGCTGAGACATCTTGCCGTAGAAGTTTTCAAGGTTAGGATATCTCCAGATAAGCTAGCTGCTGCCAGGAGGGTACTCACAGGTCCCATTTCCCAGGTAAGATTATCACAGGTTGGGTCGGAGTCAGCTATCTCTTAGCCTTGCAACTACAGAATTTCACCTCAGGTGTCCCAGAGCTGATCAAACTGTAGGAGGTTGACTTGCATTGAAACTCACAGGAAATTGCATAAATACACCTCTTCCTGTCTTACTAAGTTCCATTACAGTCATAGACAGAACTAGCAGACAGAGTAGACACTTGTGTTGGCCGCATAGCTCGTTTGCTCCTCATAGCAAGGTGTGTGGGAACCCAGATCAGCAGGAGGCACCTCAGGGAGCCTGGAGTCAGAACAAAGGGAAGTCTTTGGGGATTATACAGATACCTGAAACTCCGAGGTCTTGACATTCAAAACCCCACTCTTGAGATGTCCCACCATTTGGGTTGGACATGCTGAGTCTTCAGGTTAAGACTCTTCTGTTTTCACCACTGCTGGGATTGGTCGTGGGAACCAGCCTCAGTCTTTCACACTTTCCTTCTCTGCTGCTACTACTTACCAGCTGCCTTTCATTATCCACATTTATTCTTTTCATTAATTTACTCTTTAGTCTTGTTGGCTCAGGGAAGAGGAATTGGTTCAAAAAATGTGTCATGCACTACCCTGTGACAGCGATAATTAATATGAAGATTGATATTAGGACACTGTCCCTAACTGGAGGCTTTCTCAGTCTAGAGGGTGGCACTGATGTGACAACATTTCAGAAGATTGTGGGCAGGACAGTGATGGGGCCACACAGGATTCTGTGCAAGCACAGAGGACACAGACCTACGGTGCACTGTCACTTGGAGTGTCTGCTTTGATCTATCAGGCACTGATTTTGTAGTTTTTGGAGGGCAACCTTACTCCTATGATTCTGAGACCTGGGAGAATGGTGCAGGGAGTCATTCTCACTCATGTGGACTGTCTGCTGTCCATTTGCTTTTCCTTGGGTTCTGTTCCAAGATTGGGTGTCAGGAGTCTGGAAGATGAAAGAGTCCAATATGCCACTTAGTCATTACCTTTTCCCTCTCAATAATGGAGGCAGTCATTTGTTCACTTTTGAATGCTGTAGTCAACCCACCAGGAAATGCAGCCAGCCTGGAGGGAAGTAAAAGGATGATGCAGAGAGTTTTGTGAAGAAAGGAGGGAATTCTGCAGAGGGTGGCAATATTTGAGTGAGCTTGATGTGTTTTCCAGGATCGGGCTGAATCACTCAGCAAAGTCAGAAACCTGTTAAGTGCTAAGTCACAAACAATGCTCTCTTCTTTTGAACAGGCCAACACTGATCGGGCTGGTAGGAACATAGAGAAATGGAAACGCTGGATGGGATTGTTAGGCAGGAATGGGAGAATGGGAGGATATGTTGAATGGACACATTTTTCTTCCCCAAAGCCTACTGGCTTGGGTCATGTTCTGCTCACTCCCCCCAATCCCTGCTTGACCTTCCCCAACAACTAAGAGGGATCTTGATTTTCCACACTAATTGAACTCAGGCAGATCTACCTGAGTTTAACTCCTGGCTGTGGTGCACCTTAGGTGTAGGACTTTGGACAAATCACTTCTCTGAGCCTCAATGTCCCCCATATAAAATGGGGATAATACCACTTATAATGGCTGAGGGCAGAGGAGATGTGTGTAAAAATCCTAAAAAGGTGCTTAGCTTCTTGTGGGTCTCAGAAGATGCTAGTTATAATTTTATGTTGAGAAGTCACACTTAGAATGTGAATGCTCTTAGAGAGGTGCTAATTTACATAAATTCATAACAAGAGATATTGTCTGGTATTACATCTTGTCTGAAAATCCAGTTTTTTTGGATAGGAATCATGGTGATGGAAAATGGGGCAAGGCACAGGAATTCTGAGTTTTGTGGGGAGGGAGAGAGAAAGGGACAGCCTGGGATGTCATTTATTCATTAGACATAGACTAAAGGCCCATTACATACCAGTGCTATAAAAAGGATACACTTGGCTAACCTCTCAGTCTGTCTGTGGACCAGCCCTGACCTTTCTGTGGTAAGCCAGTGCAATGAACTTTAGGCGGTGCTTGGGGATACTTAGAAATGCTGCATAGCCTAAATATTTGGTTATTTTTTCTTTAGTAATTAATATAGTGATTTATTAATTACCTCTCAGCCAGATTAATCCTACCTTCCCTTAAAGTGTGCTACAGTTGGAAAGGCATCTGATAGGGAAAGGAAAACTATGTGTGTGCTATATCCTTTTACCAAGGTGCAGCAGCAGTTCTGTGTTTCATTGGAATGCAGAGAACTGAGGCTGACCCAAGGACATGCCACTGAGAGGCCATGAAGGAGGAAGAGGGAGAAAGAAGGAGGAGGAGGAAGGGGAGGAGGAGGAAAGCATGGAGGAGGAAGGAGGAGGAGTTTAGCACCTGAATTGATTTTACTTACCCTGTTGAGATTTCTCTACCTCCTCTGCTAAGTGTTCCATCTTATAAGTTCAGTTTGGGTGGAGCTGCATTTGGCTTCTGGATCTTTCTTCAGTATAATCTCTGTTGGAGGTGGGAATTTACCCCTCTGCAAAGTCCAGATGTGCTGAAGGATTGCTCTGCTGTTGCTGGGACAACTTGGAAACTGTGTTCCTGCTTCATTCCCCCTCCATTGCCCCTTGATGTTGTTAGGATGCTATTCACTTGTTTATTTGGTTTTGGGCCTGAGAGCTCTTGAGGGACTGGGGGCAGGCACTGCATCTGGTTTATAATCCCAGTGCCTAAGATAATGCCCAGCAGATCATAAACCACAGTGAATGTTTGTTTAATCACTGGCCTAGCCAGAGGCACTTTTTTTTTTTTTTATCAGAATCAATATTTTCTTCTTCTTCTTTTTTTTCCCTCCCCCTTTTGGACCTGGTGTGGATTGAAAAACATGAAAATCAATGGATGGATGCTTAGAAGCTAGTACCAATGTATGGGAATGCATCAGCATGAGGCAAGGCTTACCTGGGTGGAAACTGGATTTTTTTTGCCTTTTAAAATTTATTCAGAGAGAGAAACTGAAATTTGGCTTTTTATTTGTTGTGACAGAAACTTAAAACATCCCCCCAACACACACTTCATATACATAACCACACACATAAACTGTGATTGCACCTGTGTCATTTCTGATCTGTGAAATATAATAATGGGCAAATAAAGCAAAATTGAATTTGGCCAGCCTTTGAAATCTATTGATTTCAAATTAGAGCAGCAGTGTTAATTCTATTATAGCAGTAATACCCAGAAGGTAGATTTTGAAATGGATTAGAATGCGTTCATTTAGAAGCTTACAAGTATATCTCGATGAATTAGCTGGGAGAATAACACTTCTATAAGAAACCATGTGGGAGTAGGTAACTGCAGCCCTAATTCTAGTGCCTGGTTTTATCTTTAGATGTTTTAGTGGCCTCTGTCAGTAGAGGAATCCTAAGACTTTCACTACTGTTGAGTTCTGAGGATCCTTAAACCTAGCACATGTCCAATGGCAGTGATGGTTCCACAGGGGGAAGAGACCACCCCCCACTTGCTGAGAATTAGGTGGGGCTTTCAGATTTGAGTCTCATCAGCAAAGTGCCCAGAGTGTTGATCCTGAGGTAGAATGTCTTGGGTGTATTTCTTCCTTGCAGTTACAGCTTGGCTGATGGTTTTTTCTGCAGGTGAGAGTGATTTTCCAGTGATTGCTTTGGCCTGTACAACCAGAGAACAGGATTCTTCCCTTCTTTTTGGCCACCAAATGCCTATGTGCACCACACATTCCAGTGTGCTGAGAAGGGCAGAGCTTCTTGGATGATGATGGACGTCCCACCGGGCAGGATGAAGGCAGAGCGTGTGGCATCTCCACCTCAAGGGTAAGAGTTGCCATTCTATCTTATTTTCTCAAGCACCCATTATTTATCAAAGGAGGATGAGAATGAGCGTTACAGTGTAGTGAGAAAGATGAAAGTTAGACACTTCTGATGGTCAAATCCACTGGGCAGTTGGGACAGATGACTATGGGAAGAAAAGTGTTGGTCTCAAAGGATTAGATTGGAGTTATATTAAGGGACACCACTGGCCAACTTTAGAAAATGCTGTGGTTCACATTTTCTCCCTCTCCCTTTTTTGACATTTATAGTTCAGACTTGAGAGAATGACACTACTGTTATTGTAACTAGGTTCCATTTGTGTTCATGTTAGCCAGTCTGGCTTAAAATGTGTGTTGTGGACTGGAATTGGTCAGAGTCTGGCTCAGGTCACAGACTGGGTAGCTCATCAGATGTACCTGGGCCAGAGGCACATCTTTGTTTGAGCCACATCATGCTTCAAACATGTTGGATCAATTCTAACTAAACTTGAGATATTCCACATAAGGATCAGGGTTTCCAGGTTCTCCTGGGAAGACGGAATGATATGTCTATACTGGGCCTCTGTTCCTAAAAAGGATTCTAGTGCTGAGTAGCCTCTGCCTCTTAGACAAGTGGGGACAGTTCACCACCATCCCCAACCATCTCATTTGTTTGACTTGTTTGGTCACCGGAGGTATTTAATTTTGCCATGCCTGTTCTAGATCATTCTGCTAGCTCTTTGACAAAAGTAGTAATAGCCTTTGTTAATTCCTCCAGATAAAAGCAAGTATCTTTTACTAGATTGTGGGCAGCACTTAGCATAAGGGGCTATAGCTGTAAGAGGATAATACATGGTCCCTTCCACAGCGAAGCTTGGAGTCTAGAGTGAGCAACAATCAGACTTGTGGGGAATAAGGAGAATTGTAGATAACATCATAATGCCTTGTGATATGTGCTAAAATCAAGGTGTACACAAATGGGCTATGGGAGAGGGTAGAGAAGAGAGAACCATTAATTTGGCCTGGGCCCAAATTCTCCAAAACTCCCTCCCCTGGGCAGCAGAGCTTTCCCATGACAGACCTCTGTATGTGCTTGATTCCAAGCAACCTGGCTCAGCTGGAGATGTGATGGAGTATTTACAGCAGGGCTAGGGGCCCCTCTTGTGGTAAAGTCCAGGTTTTTCCTGTTTCTGTTTGAAAAGCTATCATCTACGATTCTTTGCTTTTTACAAAGAGGACAGCTTTCTGGTTGTTTGGCTCACTAAATCACTCAGCCTTCTGAGCAGCTCTCTGCTTGGAGATGAGCTGTGTGAATTACAGAGATCCCTGGAGTTTCCAGAGAGTAGCAGTCACACTAAATACAGATCCAGAGGGAGTGAGTACAACTTTAATGTGATTGTACTAGTTGGTGGGAGTAAGAGAAGGGAAGGGAATAGGGGAAGGAAGTGGGGGAAGGTAGAAATACCATTATATCAGTCTTTTATTTTTGGAACACAGTTTTACATGTGGCTTGTGCTTTATGTTTTCAAAAGACTTTTACATTTGTTATTTTATCCTCAAGGTGGGTTTATAAACTCCTTCTATAGATGAAGACTTCACCTGCCCAAGGTCATGCAGATAAGAAGAGGCAGCTCAGACACAAGTTTTCAGAATCCTAGTCTTTCCCTCTTTTTTGCTAGTTGATGCTGATAATTCAGCATGAATAAGAGGACATGCTGTTTTTGTTTTGTTAAGTTCAACATTGAAACGTTGCATTCAGTTTATGAATGCTCTGGAATAGAGCACCCTGGGACCCTGCAAATTGTATGGACCTGTGTCATTCATGTGTTGTCCAACTGTGGCCCATGCTGTCAGAACATGTCCAGCGCAGAACAGACCTGGCAGGGAGTTTTCTTGCCTGACTGTTTGGCCGGTGGGATTCACGCTTTACAGCAAGCCTTCCTCAGTGGACTGGGCTGCACCACTTGGAAAGCTACTGGAGGTGTTGGCTCCATGTAGGATCCTCGCCATGCTCAGACAATGCTGTAAGAGAAGACTCTTACCAGGGAGGCACCTGGTAGGAGGTTGGTAAGGAGGAGACATGGGTATGGATTGAGTTTAGGTTTCCAATTCTGTTTACGTTTGCTTGGTTTTTCCATTTTGTATATCCCCACATGGCATGACCAGAAATTGAATTTAGCATGACCTACTCTTTAAAAAAATCAAAATGAGCTTTCTTTTTAAATTTAATAGAATAAAAGAAAACTCTTAGAAGAATGTTCCAAAAAGAAGGCAGTGTTAAATGCTGAAAATGGTGTATTTTTTTCTTTGATGAAAAAGGATTAATGTAGATTTTTGGACATCTACAAAACAAGAAGGAAAAACAAATCTGGGTTTTTATTTACTTTTATGAAATTGATACCAAAAAGCAGTTCTGTCCAGTAAGACAAATTGGCTTGTATTATAATACTTTCATTACTTTTCTGAGCAAAGCAGGTGCATTATCAGAGACAGCCATGAGCTTGTGTATATGTGTATGAGTCAGCCTTGAAAAGACACAATTTTGAGAATATTTTCTTAGGTGAGTTTGAGAGCATGAAGCAACAAGAGCAGGAAGTGGACCAAGAGGAGGCGAATAAAAGGTTAATGGCTTTGAAAAAGCTTTACAGGGTGCCAGTTGGAGACAACTGAATCAATGGTAGTTTTCATTTTACGCTGCCAGGGAGTTTCTTGGATTTTTGACATATTCTTCTTCTTTTCAATCTTATAAACACCAAGAGGGACAAGGTGGTCAAATACTGTATATATAGTGTTCTCACCATGAGTGATGTGGGTTGATAGTAGGGAGGAGAATCAATACAGTGAAGCTAAGTTTAGCTTTAAGAAGAGAATGAAAATAGCAGTTGGGTCTTCTACTTTGTGGCCAATGCCACTGTACCCTCAGATGTGCCTGATTTTAGACCCCATGTGTCTTCAGCATGTGAATGTCAATCTCCTTACAGTATGGCTGACATAATATGCAAATGAGAACATCAGCCAGTCTCTACCTCCTCCCACTTAAAAAAATAAACTTTAAATACTCATATTTGAGGCATTGTGGAAAGAGTCTGCCGCATAAAAGGTGGACAACGTTGGGCAAATTCTGAGCCTCAGATGTCCCCATTTGCAACACGGGAGTCTAAGGTCTATGACTTAGGGCTGTTAGAGAATTAAAGACAATGATTCATTCATTCAGTTACATGTACTCATTGCCTGCTAGTGCCTATGTACTGCACCAGTTGTTGAGAATAAAAGAGTGAATAATAGTGTATATGAAAGCACTTACCACAGTGCATAGCCTGAAAAAAGATGCTTAGCACATTTTTCTTAAAACATTTTTAATGGAGAATTTTAACATGTACAAAAATAAAATAATACATTAAACTCTTTTGTGCCTATCCATGACCCGCTGCAACAGTGATTAACTCATAGCCATCTTGTATGATCAGAGCTCCTGCCTTTCCATGTATTATTATGAAATCAATCCCCAATGTTGTGTAATTTTATCAATAAATATTTTAGTATGTATTTCCAAAAGATAAGGGTTTTCTTTTAAGAACATAATTATATTACTATTGGGACACTGAAAAATTAACAATGATTTTTTTTATAATATCAAGTATCTAGTTGGTTTTTGTACTAGTTCATTCTCACATTGCTATAAAGAACTACGTGAGACTGAATAATTTATAAGGGAAAGAGGTTTAATTGATTAAGAGTTCCGCATGGCTGGGAAAGCCTCAGGAAACTTAAAATCATGGCAGAAGGCAAAGGGGAAGCAAGCACATCTTACCATAGTGAAGCAGGAGAGCGAGAGAGAGTGAAGTGGGAGATGCTACACATTTTCAAACAACCAGATCTTGTGAGAGCTCACTAACAATCATGAAAAAAGCAAGGGGAAGTCTGCCCCCATGATTCAATCACCTCCCACCAGGCCCCTCCCCTGACACTTGGGGATTACAATTTGACGTGAGATTTGGGTGGGGACACAGAGCCAGACCATATCAGTTTTCAAATGTCCCTGATTTTCATATATATGTGTGTGTGTGTGTATATATATATATATATATATATATATATATATATATATATATAAATACATATACATATATTAAGCATTTGGCTGGTTAGAATCAGGATCTGTACAAAGTCTGTACACTGGCTTTGTTTGATATGCCTCTTATTTGATCTGTGTCATTTGTCCTGTATGGTTTCCCAGTCTTGATTTTGCTGATTGCACCCCTGTGGTGTTATTGACCATATTCCTCTAAAATATTTATTTTGTTCAGTAAAATCTAGTTATTTTATTATATTAGGCTTGATTAGTGGGTTCAAATATTGTAACTCTGATCTCTGTTATGAAATTCCCCATCAGCTTTTTATCCGGATTTTATCAGCCATTGATTATCATTGCCTAGATCTATTATTTTATTATGAGATTTGAGTTCTATTATTTCTTTTTTTACTTATTAGCTGGAATCCCTATTTATTCACTTATTTTTATTATAATTTTAAAAAATGATAAATAGAAATAGAGTCTCACTGTGTTGTCAAGGCTGGTCTCAAACTCCTGGGCTCAAGTGATCCTCCTGCCTTGGCCACCCAAAGTGCTGGGATGGAATCCCTTTTTAAATGACAGTATTATTGAGATATGCTTTGAATACAGCAAAATCTACCTTTTTAAAAATGGGTTTAATGCAGTGGTTCTTGGTATATTCATGACTGTACAACTTTCTAATTCCAAGACATATTTATCATCCTCAAAGGAAACCCAAATCCATTAATAGTACCCATCTCCCCTCCCCCCAGCCCCCAGCAACCACTAATCTACTTTCTGTTTCTATAGTTTTGACTATTATGGATATTTCATATAAATGGAATAATACAATATATGATCTTTTATTGTCTTTTTTTAAGTAGACCTTTTTCATTAGCATAAGTTTTCAAAGTTGATCCAGGTTGTAGTCTGTCAGAACTTCATTCCTTGATGGACATTTAGATTATCTCCCCTTTTTCGCTATTATGAATAATGCTGCTACGAACATTACATACAGTTTTTGTTTGAACATATGTTTTCAGTTCTCTTGGGACTATACCTAGGAATGGAATTGCTGGGTCATATGGTAAACCTGTTTAACTTTTTGAGGAATGGGCTTAAACTGCTTTCTCAAGTGGCTGTACTATTTTACATTGCTTACAATGACACACAAGGGTTCCACTTTCTCCACATCCCTGCCAACACCTGATGTATCATAATACAACATTTGCATTATTATTACTTTTTGACTATAGCCATCATACTGGTATGAAGTGGTGTCTCATTGTAATTTTGATTTGCATTTTCCTAATGTCTAATGATGTTGAGCATCTTTTCAAGTACCTTTTGGCCATTTATATGTTTTCATAGAAATGTCTATCAAAATTATTTGCCCATTTTAAAGGAGTTTATTTGTCTTTTTATTATTGAGTTGTAAGAGTTCTTTATTCTGGATACTATATCCTTATCAGATATATGATTTGCAAATATTTTCTTCTATTTTGTGAGTTGTCTTCATTTTCTTGATACTTGTCCTTTGAATTGATAGTGTCCTTTGAAGTGCATTTTACATTTTGATAAAGTCAATTTAACTATTTTTTCTTTATTTTTCTGTAATTTTAGTGTTATAGCTAAGAAGCCATTCCCTAACTCAAGGTCATGAAAATTTATGTTAATTTTTTTTCTAAGAGTTTTATAATTTTAACACCTACATTCAGGCCTTTGATGTATTTAAAGTTAATTTTTGTATATAGTGTGGGATACATATCCAATTTAGATTTTTTTGCATGTGGCTATCCAGCTGTTCCAATACTATTTATCGAAAAGACTCTTCTTACCCCTGTTGAATTGTCTTGACACACTTGTCAAAAATCAATCAAAAAGCCCATATGGGCTTATTTTTCAGTTTATTGATTGATTTTTGACAAGTGTGTCAAGAATCAATTTGTCAATTTCTGAAGTTTTAGAATTTTGGAATCAATTTGTCAATTTCTGAAAAAAGGCAGCTAGGATTTTTATAGGAATTGTATTTAATCTATGAATTAATTTGGAGGGTATTGCCATTTAACAATAATAAATCTTTCAATCCGTGAACATTGGGTGTCTTTCTATTCATTTATTTCTTCCATAATTTTTTCAACAACATTGTGTAGTTTTCATTTTACAGGTTTATGCCACTTTTGTTAAATTTATTTCTAAATATTTTATTTTTCTGGATGCTATTGAAAATATAATTGTTTTCTTAATTTCATATTTGTATTATTGCTAGTATATAGAGATACAGTTTTTTTGTATATCAATCTAGTATCCTGCAAAATTGCTGAACTTATTTATTAGTTCTAATTTTTTTGTATATCTATTCCATAGGATTTTCTATATACAAGATCATGTCATCTGCAAATAGAAGTAGGTTAACTTTTCCTTTTCAGTCTGGATGCATTTTCTTTCTTTTCTTTGCCTAATTTCCCTGACTAGAACTTCCAGTACAATGTTGAATAAAAGTGGTGGGATTGGACATTCATGTTTTGTTCCTGATCTTAAGAGAAATGCTTTTAGTCTTTTTTCATTAAATATGTTTTTAGCTGTGGGTTTTTCATAGATGCTCTTTATCAAATTGGAGAAATTCTGTTCTATTCTTAGTTTTTGAGTTTTTGTTTTTAATCATGAAAGAGTGCTAGATTTTTCAAATGCTTTTTCTGCATCTTTTGAGATGATAATGTCATTTTCATTATTTCTTTAGTATTTATATTACCTTGATTGATTTACACGTTAAGTTAACCTTAAATTCCTGAGATAAATCCCACTACTCATGGTAATATAATTCTTTTTATATGTTGCTGGATTTGGTTTGCTGATGTTTTGTTGAGGATTTATTCATCTGTATTCATAAGGGATGCTCCCTGTAGTTTTCTTGTGATGTCTTTTTCTAGTTTTGGTATTAGGAGAATACTAGCTTCATAGAAGGAGCTGGGAAGTATGCCTTTCTCTTCTAATTTTTGGGAGGGTTTGTGGAAGATTGGTGGTGATTGTGGTAAAATTCACCAGCAAAGCTATCTGTACATGAGCTTTCCATATGAAAATTTTTAAAATTGCAAATTCTGTATCTTTACTTGTTAATAAATAGGTTTATTCAGATTTCCTTTTTCTTCTTGAGTTAGTTTGTGTAGATCATCTCTTTCTAGTGTAAACTAAAAATAAAATTCTAAGCCCTCTTGACTATCTGAATGGACCCCTCCTCTAGGCCAACGTCATTCCCAAATTAACCTGAAAAATGAGTTCAGACCATGATGAGAAGGAGAGGTAAGACATGCTTCATTATACCCTCCTCTTTTTTGGAATTCAGGAAAAGCTTACCAGCGTCAACATCAACATGAACCTTAGGACTGATAGTGCAGTCTCTTTAATTCTGATAAGAAACATTTACTGTCTATTCTCTCTGAAGTTGCTATCTGGAGGCTTCATCTGCATGATAAAACCTTGGTCTTCACAACTGCTTATCTTAACCCAGACATTCCTATTGATTCTAAGTCTTTAGACAATGTATTAATCTGTTTTCACGCTGCTATAAAGACATACCCGACTGGGTAATTTAGAAAGAAAAGAGATTTAATTGACTCACAGTTCCGCAGGGCTAGGGGGTCTCAGGAAACTTACAATCATGGTGGAAGGGGAAGAGGCACGTCTTACATGGTGGCAGGCAAGAGAGAGTGGCGAGAGAAGGGAAAAGAGCTTTTTATCAACCATCAGACCTTGTGAGAACTCACTCACTATCATGAGAACAGCGTGGGGGAAACTGCCCCCATGATCCAGTTACCTCTTACCAGGTCGCTCCCTTGACACGTGGGGATTACAATTCAACATGAGATTTGGGTGGGGACACAAAGCCAGACCATATCATTCTACCTCTGGCCCCTCCCAAATCTCATGTCCTCATGTTTTAAAACCAATCATGCCTTCCCAACAGTCACCCAAAGTCTTAACTCATTTCAACATTAATTCAAAAGTCCAAGTCCAAAGTTTCATCCGAGACAAGGCAAGTCCCTTCTACCTAGGAGCCTCTAAAATCAAAAGCAAATTAGTTACTACCAAGATACAATGGGGGTACAGGCATTGGATAAATGCTTCCATTCCAAATGGGAGAAATAGGCCAAAGCAAAGGATTGTTTTGGCCCCCAAACAAATTGGCCCCAAAGGGGCAAGTCTGAAACCCATCAGGGGAGCCATTAAGTCTTAAAGCTCCTAAATGATCTCCTTTTACTCCATGCCTCACATCCAGGTCACAGTGATGCAAGAAGTGGGCTCCCATGGTCTTGGGCAGCTCCACCCCTATGGCTTTGCAAGGTACAGCCCTCCTCCCAGCTGCTTTCATGGACTGGTGTTGAGTGTCTGTGGCTTTTCCAGGTGCTCAGTGCAAGCTGTCAGTGGATCTACCATTCTGGGGTCAGGAGGACAGTGGGTGTCTCTTCTCACAGCTCCACTTGGCAGTGCCCCAATGGGGACTCTGCGTGGGATTCTAACCCCACATTTCCTTTCTGCACTGCCCTAGCAGAGGTTCTCCATGAGGGCTCTGCCCCTGTAGCAAACTTCTGCCTGGACTTCCAGGCATTTCCATACATCCTCTGAAATCTAGGTAGAGGTTCCCAAACCTCAGTTCTTCTGTCCACTTGCAGGCCCAAGACCACATGGAAGTCATCAAGGATTGGGGCTTGCGCCATCTGAAGCCATGGCCCAAGCTGTACCATGGCCCCTTATAGCCATGACTGGAGCTGAAATGTCTGGGATGCTGGGTGCCATGTTGCAAGGCTGCACAGAGCAGCGGGGCCCTAGGCCTAGCCCATAAAAACTTTTTTCCTCCAGGCTTCTAGGCCTGTGGTGAAAGGGGCTGCTGCCAAGACCTCTGATATGCCCTGGAGAAATTTTCCCCATTGTCTTGGCAGTTAACATTCAGCTCCTGGTTACTTATGCAAATTTCTGCAGCCAGCTTGAATTTCTCCTCAGAAAATGGGTTTTTCTTTTCTATCACATCATCGGGCTCCAAATTTCCCAAACCTTTATGCTCTGCTTCCCTTTTAAACAAAAATTCCAATTTCAAACGATCTTTTGTGAATGCATAAAACAGAATGCTTTTAAGAGCACCTAGGTCACATCTTGGACACTTTGTTGCTTAGAAATTTCTTCCACCAGATACCCTAAATCATCTCTCTCAAGTTCAAAGTTCTACAGATCTCTACAGCAGGGGGAAAATGCCACCAGTCTCTTTGCTAAAGCATAGCAAGAATGAGTGTTTGTTCCAGGTCCCAATCAGTTTTTCATCTCCATCTGAGACCACTTCAGCCTGGGCTCATTGTCCATATCACTACCAGCATTTTGGCCAAAACCACTCAACAAGTCTCTGGGAAGTTCCAAACTTTTCCACATCTTCCTGTCTTCTTTGGAATCCTCCAAACTGTTCCAGCCTCTGCCTGTTACCCAGTTCCAAAGTTGCTTCCACATTTTGGGGTATCTTTATAGCAGTACCCCACTCTCTGTGGTGCCAATTTATAGTATTAGTCAATTTCCATACTGCTATAAAGACATACACAAGACTGTGTAATTTATAAAGAAAATATGTTTAATTGACTCACAGTTCTGCAGAGCTGAGGAAGCCTCAGGAAACTTACAATCCTGATAGAAGGGGAACAGGCATGTCTTACATGGTGGCAGATGAGAGATGAGCAAAGGGGGAAGAGCCCCTAATAAAACCATCAAATCTTGTGAGAACTCATTCACTATTACAAGAACAGCATGGGGAAACCACCCCCATGATCCAATCACCTCCCACCAGTTCTCTTTCTTGACACTTGGGCATCACAATTGGAGATGAGATTTGGGTGGAGATACAAAGCCCAACCATATCAGACAATAATAACTTAACTCTTTCAACCAATTGCCAATCAGAAAATCTTTGAATCTGCCTATGGCCTGGAAGCCCCCCACCTCAGCTGCCAGTTTTCTGGGCTTTCTGGACAGAACCAATGTACATTTTACATATATTGATTGATTTCTTGTGTCTCCCTAAAATGTATATAGCCAAGTTGTAGGCCAACAACCTTGAGTACATGTTCTCAGGATATGCTGAGGGCTATGTCACAGGCCATTGGTCACTCATATTTGGCTCAAAATAAATCTCTTTAAATATTTTAGAGTTTGACCCTTTTTGTTGACACTAGCAATTTGTACACTTCATCTAGGTTATCTAATTTGTGGACATATGATTGATCATAGTATTCCTTTATAGTTCTTTTCATTATGTAAGGTCAATAGTGGTATTGTTCTTTCATTGCTGATTTTGCTAATTTGAATCTTCTCTCATTTTTTAATTTTCCTTTGTTTTGTTTAAGTTTTGAGACAGAGTCTGACTCTGTCACCGAGGATGGAGTGCAGTAGTGCGATCTCGGCTCACTGCAGCCTCCCCCTCCTGGGTTCAAGTGATTCTCATGCCTCAGCCTCTCGAGTAGCTGAGACTAGATGTGCATGACACCATGCCCAGCTAATTTTTGTATTTTTTGTAGAGATGGGGTTTTGCCATGTTCACCAGGCTGGTCTTGAACTCCTGGCCTCAAATGATCCATCTGTCTTGGCCTCCCAAAGTACTTTCATTTTTTCTTGATTAGCCTAGTTGAAGATTTGTCAATTTCGTTGATTGTTTTAAATGACCAATGGCTTTGTTGAATTTTTTTTAAATTTTATTCTCCATTTGTTTATTTGCATGTTAATCTTTATTATTTCCTTTTTTTTTTTCAGAGGAGGAATTTGTTCTCTTGCAGACAACCTTGCCTTTCCATAAACATAAGGGGAAAGAGATTCCTTTCTGACCTTTCTGCTCCCTTTAATGGTGTTACTGTCTGCCCACTTTTACAGACTAGAAAACACATCCTCTTTTGGCCTTTCTGCTTCCTTGTCCCTTTTTTTTTCCCAATCAGTTACCAAATCCTGTAGATTCTGTCTTATAAACTTCTTCTGAGTTTATCACTTCCTCTTTATATGCACTGCCACTGTGTGTGTCCATGTCCTTGCCACCCCTAACCTGTTCTGTTGCAGCCCTGTCTTCTTGGTCCCAGCTTTTGCCCCGTGCAGCTTTCACGCTGCTGTCATTGGCGGCTTTCTAAGTCACAGTCACAAACCTAGCTATGTCTACTTGTTGATTAAGACCCTTTAGTGGTCTTGCTGACAGATTCTTTGGACTGATATACAGGGTCCTCCACAATCTGGCTTCTGTCTACCCTTCGATGCCTCTGGTGGGAATGTCCTTTTCCTTTCAGTTTGGTGGTGTGTTAGTCTGTTCTCACACTGCTATAAAGAACTACCTGAGACTGGGTAATTTATAAAGATTTAATTGACTTACAGTTCTGCAGGCTGTACAGGAGGCATGGCTGGGGAGGCCTCAGGAAATTTACAGTCCTGGCAGCAGGTGAAAGGGAAGCCAGCATGTCTTACATGGCAGAGCAGGAGAGAGAGAGAGTGAAGGGGGAGATGCTACACGCTTTGAAAGAGCCAGATCTCATGAGAACTCTGTCACGAGACAGTGCTTGGGGGATGATGCTAAGCCATTAGAAACCACCCCCATGATCCAATCACCTCCCACCAGGCTCCACCTGCAACACGCAGGATCACAATTCAACATGAGATTTAGGTGGGGACACAGAGCCAAACCATATTAGGTGGACTCCACTTGAACCTTTGAGCTGCATATAACCTCTGCTATGAAGCTTCTCCAGGTAAGGTCACTGCTTTTTTCTCAGTAATCCCAAAGATGCTTGACTGACCTCTCGCATAGCATGCTTCACATTGGATTATTAGATTATAAAAAGGAAGAAGGTGGGGGAAGTCTATGTAGTGGAGAGAACATGGACTTTGGAATTAATTCAACCTGGGTTTAAATCTTGGCTCCATCATTTACCTATTATGTACCTAGAGAGGCTGAGAGCAGTACCCATTTTTCTATCCAGCTACCATATAGTGTTGGAAGGACTGAATGACATAATGTGTAAAGGCCTCCAGTAGTATCAGGTGGGGACTCAGTATATGACAGTCTCCTTTTATTTGTATCATCTGTTCTGAGGAAACGTCATTGCATTGGGTGAGGATCAAAAGCTGTTATTTTCTCTCTGAGAAAGCGACCTGGTGTATCCTGATTAGTGTCAGAACTAAAAACAGGCCACGTGCTCAGCCAGTATAGACAATCTATGGAAAGATAATTATAGATTAGGGCCACGTGGGGACTGTCTGTGATGGGAAGGAGGAGGTGGGAGTGGAGCGGGTTTGTGTCAGGAAACTGATAGTGCAATTACCATAAAGAGGTTTTCCCAAGTCAGGTTCTTTTCATGTGGATGTTCCTGAAACACCATCCCATGAAGTGTAATGATATCTTTAAGATATAAGGTACTTAAGCACAGGGAGATAATTATATCCTCTTGATTGTCCACATCCAAACACAGGGAGTAGGGCTTTCTCTTAAAGGAGTAAAACATTGGTACGCAAAGGGAAACTCACATCCTTTGTAAGAGCTGAGCTGAGCCCCCTGTGATGAGTGTGTTGGGGGCATGACCAAGCCCTAGGGATTGGAAGGGATGAGCTTCAAGCCTGGCAGCAACTAGCCTGTCATGTCTGAATTGAGTTTTCCCAAACATGAAGAGCTTGTGCTTGAATCTCTGGAGACGCTTGTATTATGTAAGTGATCTAAATTGCATTGTATTTTTGGGGGCAAGGTTGGGAGGTACAGTTTGAATGCTTAACACACAGAGAAATGGCAATTAGGGTTCATACAAATTATATTGCCATCTTTCCTCTTTCCTAAAGAAAATGGGTTCCCAAAATCCTAAGTTTTTTTGGGAAAAATCTGTTTTGTGTTGATTTTCTTCTGAACAAAATGCATAATAATGTATTCATTTTTATTGCATTTCCTGCTTTGCTTTTAATGTAGCCCATCCTCCTGGAAAGGGCAGATTAAAAATAAGCTTGGCTGGGCACGGCAGGACAGAGTGCTAATATCATCTTGTGCTCTTTCCAGGTGCAGCCTGATCTTCCTCTTCTCCCTTGCCAGCCAGCACTCTGCCTTCTGTATCCACCATGGTGTTTGGTGAGTTTTTCCATCGCCCTGGACAAGACGAGGAACTTGTCAACCTGAATGTGGGGGGCTTTAAGCAGTCTGTTGACCAAAGCACCCTCCTGCGGTTTCCTCACACCAGACTGGGGAAGCTGCTTACTTGCCATTCTGAAGAGGCCATTCTGGAGCTGTGTGATGATTACAGTGTGGCCGATAAGGAGTACTACTTTGATCGGAATCCCTCCTTGTTCAGATATGTTTTGAATTTTTATTACACGGGGAAGCTGCATGTCATGGAGGAGCTGTGCGTATTCTCATTCTGCCAGGAGATCGAGTACTGGGGCATCAACGAGCTCTTCATTGATTCTTGCTGCAGCAATCGCTACCAGGAACGCAAGGAGGAAAACCACGAGAAGGACTGGGACCAGAAAAGCCATGATGTGAGTACCGACTCCTCGTTTGAAGAGTCGTCTCTGTTTGAGAAAGAGCTGGAGAAGTTTGACACACTGCGATTTGGTCAGCTCCGGAAGAAAATCTGGATTAGAATGGAGAATCCAGCGTACTGCCTGTCCGCTAAGCTTATCGCTATCTCCTCCTTGAGCGTGGTGCTGGCCTCCATCGTGGCCATGTGCGTTCACAGCATGTCGGAGTTCCAGAATGAGGATGGAGAAGTGGATGATCCGGTGCTGGAAGGAGTGGAGATCGCGTGCATTGCCTGGTTCACCGGGGAGCTTGCCGTCCGGCTGGCTGCCGCTCCTTGTCAAAAGAAATTCTGGAAAAACCCTCTGAACATCATTGACTTTGTCTCTATTATTCCCTTCTATGCCACGTTGGCTGTAGACACCAAGGAGGAAGAGAGTGAGGATATTGAGAACATGGGCAAGGTGGTCCAGATCCTACGGCTTATGAGGATTTTCCGAATTCTAAAGCTTGCCCGGCACTCGGTAGGACTTCGGTCTCTAGGTGCCACACTGAGACACAGCTACCATGAAGTTGGGCTTCTGCTTCTCTTCCTCTCTGTGGGCATTTCCATTTTCTCTGTGCTTATCTACTCCGTGGAGAAAGATGACCACACATCCAGCCTCACCAGCATCCCCATCTGCTGGTGGTGGGCCACCATCAGCATGACAACTGTGGGCTATGGAGACACCCACCCGGTCACCTTGGCGGGAAAGCTCATCGCCAGCACATGCATCATCTGTGGCATCTTGGTGGTGGCCCTTCCCATCACCATCATCTTCAACAAGTTTTCCAAGTACTACCAGAAGCAAAAGGACATTGATGTGGACCAGTGCAGTGAGGATGCACCAGAGAAGTGTCATGAGCTACCTTACTTTAACATTAGGGATATATATGCACAGCGGATGCACACCTTCATTACCAGTCTCTCTTCTGTAGGCATTGTGGTGAGCGATCCTGACTCCACAGATGCTTCAAGCATTGAAGACAATGAGGACATTTGTAACACCACCTCCTTGGAGAATTGCACAGCAAAATGAGCGGGGGTGTTTGTGCCTGTTTCTCTTATCCTTTCCCGACATTAGGTTAACACAGCTTTATAAACCTCAGTGGGTTCGTTAAAATCATTTAATTCTCAGGGTGTACCTTTCAGCCATAGTTGGACATTCATTGCTGAATTCTGAAATGATAGAATTGTCTTTATTTTTCTCTGTGAGGTCAATTAAATGCCTTGTTCTGAAATTTATTTTTTACAAGAGAGAGTTGTGATATAGTTTGGAATATAAGATAAATGGTATTGGGTGGGGTTTGTGGCTACAGCTTATGCATCATTCTGTGTTTGTCATTTACTCACATTGAGCTAACTTTAAATTACTGACAAGTAGAATCAAAGGTGCAGCTGACTGAGACGACATGCATGTAAGATCCACAAAATGAGACAATGCATGTAAATCCATGCTCATGTTCTAAACATGGAAACTAGGAGCCTAATAAACTTCCTAATTCAGTATGGAGAATGTCTTGGTTGTATGTTTTTATGTTGAGTAACTACATTTTAGCATGTTCAGGATTGGTTTGGAAGAAAAATGTTCTTTTTGGAGTACCAAGAGCCCTTCCTTTCTTTATGCTTTTGAATTTTAGGTATGTACCAAGCATGTGCTAGCTCTTTTTTCAGTAGACTTGATGGTAGTTGGCAGATAGAAGAACATGTCCATGACTAAATTGCGCTGTCCAGCATAAACTGATTAAACATGTAGGTGTTTGGGACACACTCAAAATTGGCATATATGAATGAAGCGTGTACTCTTACAAATATTTCTTCAGTATATCTTTTGAATTTTATACTAATTTATACTGCTAGGACAAAATCTCACTACCTAAAAAATATTGCAGAGCAGAGTAAACCTACACATTCACAGGCAGGGATACTTTCAGTGAATGGAAGAAGGGAGAAATGTTGTACAAATACACAGATGTGATTCATTATGACCGGAGGAGTGAAACTTAAATCTCTGGAAAAATCTATGCCAGCAGCTATAAAATGAGCCAACATTTTCCAATAGCCGTAGAGATGGTAATTTCTGCATCTCATGTAGAAACTTCTCACAAAGAAAGAAGACATACATACGCATTTTCAGACAGTGGCAGAGCAATTCTATCCCATGTGGAGAGAATTTAGCTAAAGTGTTAATTTTGGAGATGTGTGGAGACTGTCACGCACGCCACCAGGGGCTGGTTATGGATTCTTTACCTGAAGTCTTTCCAGTGGAAGAGCCACATGGATTTGTTATGTTTGTAGATGCATTTCATTGAAAGAAGGGCATTATCAGATATAGGTAACTCTTTGACTCATCACTCCTCTTAATGTTTCTATGGCTTCGGAGATGGATATAACTAAACAGGGTTTATGGCCACTTTTAAATCTGGAGGTTTATTACATGCATGTGTGTTACCCCCTGCTCATTAAAAAAAAATCTTTTCTCCAAAATGCATTTTTGATATTGGAATAAGTATAGTTTTGAGGCACAGCAATAGAATTTGGGATCTTGTTTTATCAAAGATTTTCTAATTAGTGGTGAAGTAACTGAAGACTCCTTATGTAATAATAGTAACAGTAGTAGTAATAGTAACAAGAACAGCAATAATCATATGATAATACGCTAACTGTGTAATTGCATTTATTTATTACAACATCCCTTGAAGCAAAAGTTTGATACTATTCCCATTTTAAGATGAGGAAACTAAGGTTTGCAGGGAAGGTGGCTTGCGGAAGTTCAAGAGTCAGTAGTGGGGTTGGGCTCTGGACCCAGGAGGCTGACTCCAGGGCCTGTGCTTTTCACTGGCCCCTGCTCTGCCGTGTTAGGGAGTGGATTTAAGGAAACATCAGAACACAGTGCATCTGAAGGGACAAAGAGCCACAAACACTGTCAGACTTTGACTTTTTAAGGATGTGAGCTGAAAGGGGAAAATGCTGGCTTATGTATCTTCCCTTTCCTAATCCAGACATCAGATACACTTATTTACAGAGACAGTTTTCTAGAATGCCCCTCGAAGCTGGAATAGGCTCTGAGGGTCTGTCCCTGAGGACACTGCATGGCAGACACAGCAGAAACTGTGGCTCTGTAAGAGCCTAGAAATGCCTTCACTGGTGAGACCAAGTAGAGTAAGGGGAGCTTTGACAGTTGGACCTGTGTAGGAACTGAGTTTCTGCCTGTGTCTCATATTAATTGCTGGAGAGCGGCTTGCTGTGTGGCATGAGTGGTGGTGGTGGCTTCCCTCTGGGCTTGGCCGGCTGCAAACCCTTCCCCCAGCCCCTTCTCAGCCCGGTCCCTGCCATACTCTTCAGTTAGAATCCCTGCCACATCCCTAGGCCTCCATGCCACAAGTTGCAGTGCCTTGTGTTTATTTTAGCCTCTCTGAGCTTCCCCACCATCCACACAGGGCTCCTCTTCCTCATTCCCACATGGTGACATGCTGGGTTCCTTCTTTCTCCAAGACTTGAGTCAGTGGCTGAACACGCACTCTCAGGGATGCTGGCCAGGGACTGAGGCACTGCCTGTTTCTGTGTTGATTGGTCCTGGGCATCAGGGTTCATTTGTGGGAGACCCGACCACTTCAGGGAGTTTTATCCTGTAATTCTTTCCAGTTCTTTCTTCTTGTCCTGTGACTGCTTTTTCTCCTCCCAGTTCCTCAGATTTGTTTTCGTCCACAGCAGTACTTTATGGCGGTTTGGAAGGCCATTGACTCTCCAAGCACCTGTGCCACCTGAGTCGATTTTCTCTTTCCCATCCCCTCTGCCCTGGAGATTGTATTCAACTTCCGCTTGTTTTCATTCAGCATTTCCTGAGTGCTTGCTCTGATATATGTTCAGGGCAGCCTCCGGGAATAGCAGACTGAGACTCCATCCTTATCCTCTGGGGGCCTTCAGGCCAACAGGAAACAGGGGTCAATTGGCTCACCTCTTTATCTCTCTGTGTGGAGAGAGAGAGCAAAGAGAGAAGAGGCTTCCTGGAGGAGGCGACACCTGAGCTGTTCAGGGCTCCAGTCTCTGAGTCTGGTGAGTTCGGTTTGATGTTAGGGATAAAACCTTCACTGATACTGAGCAGTTGGAGTCTGTTGCCTCCCAGATCCCACTTTCCAGCCATATACACTGCTAATCTCTGCCTCTGTGGCTTCTCTTTTCTCCCATTTTGCTGACCACCCTACTTTAGTTAAAAGATCTTTCACCTTTAGATATGCTGATATCTCATTTTATTTTTTCCTGTGGAGGTTTAAATATGCTGATATAGGTAACTTGGTGACTTTACTTGCTCTTCCTGTTTTTTTTTTTTATTGTTTGCTTTTGGTCTCTCAATTGCTTGTGTACATGCCTGAAATCTTCCTCAAGCGTTTATTTTATGTTTAACTCGGAGTTTTAGGGGCACTTGCTATTGTTTCTGTCTAGATGGTTATGGTGGGCCATTGTCTTGTGGCTTCTATGCTGTGAGACCGCTGTTCTATTTTATAGAGGCTGATTAATGTTACCGGAGAAGCTGTAACTAATGTTCAGAAATGGGTATTTTGTACCATATGGAACTGCCAATATCTGTCACTTTTTGATTGAGAATAACAGCAGTTTCAATATGGTTCAATTTATTGTTAAAGGTTTGCCTCATGTTAGCACAAAGGTATTTCTCAAGTTCTTAGACAAGCTTGTGGCAGGTCCTACCTACTACATGTCTGGTTTAAGGAAGAAGTGAGCACCAGGATGCCTGGGGATTTAGGACTAGCACCAGGCTTGCTGGCTGGGTGAGTAGGAGATGGGGGAGAACCTCTCTGAGCTTGTTTTCTTAGATTTGAGATGAATACATTAATTGCTGGAATTCTTTGTATCCCTGACACTTGTATAATTTGCTTTGTTACTGCAAAATGGCTAGTTCCCTTCTAACTTTGCTTACATTATAAATGTGCATAGCAAAAACCGATTTTAAACTACTCTCTGATTTTTCTTATCTTCTCAGTAGAATCCTAACCAATGAGGTTTTATTTCCTGTTGTTGAGGGCCCAAGGGATTGACTACCTTAAAACTTAGGTTATTAAAAACATTTACAAAGGATCATTTATTTCTTCCCTATGTCTGGTGGTGAGGAGTGAAGGCCCCTAAAATGCTGGAATGATATTGGGTGAAAGACCTCTTGAACTTCAAAAAGTGCATGATTTTGGTTTGCTTTAAAATCACCTGGTGGCTTAAACTTTGTTCATTTTCAGCATCTGCTGCTTTGCCCTTCCGAGGAAGAATGCCAAAGCATTTAAGAACACAGGAAAAAGAGGAGGGGTGAGCTGAGAGAGAGAAAACTCACAGGTCCTTGATGGCTAAGCACTGCTTAAAGCCATGGAATGTGACAGTCTGGCCCCATTCCCATTTTATAGATGAGGAAAAGGAATGACTTACCTGAGTAAGGCATGTGATATAGTTTGGATCTGTGTCTCCACTCAAATCTCATGTTTAATTGTAATCCCCAATGCTGGAGGCAGGGCCTGGAGGGAGGTGTTTGGATCATGGGGTTGGATCTCACATGCCTTGGTGCTGCCTTTGTGATAGTTCTTGCAAGATCTGGTCATTTAAAAGTGTGTGGCACCACCCCCTGCACTGCCTTGCTTGCTCCTGCCTTTGCCATGTGACGTGTCTATTCCTGCTTTGCTTTCTGCCATGACTGTAAGCTTCCTGAGGCCTCCCTAGAAGCCAAGCAGATGCCAGGACCATGCTTCCTGTAAGGCCTGCAGAACCATGAGCTAATTAAACATCCTTTCTTTATAAATTACCCAGTCTCAGGCGTTTCTTCATAGCAGTGCAAGAACGGCCTAATACAGTATGCCATATAGCAACAGAGACCAAATCCAGACTAGAATAGACACAACACCCTCCCTTCCTCCCTCCCTGCCTCCTTCTTATCCCCTCCCTTTTGCCTTCCCCACTCTCCATCCCTTCCTTCCTCCTTCTCTCCCTGTCCTCCCCTCCCCTTCCTCCCCACCTCCCCTTGGCTCCCCTCCTCCTTGATACCCTCCTTTCCTTTCTCCCTCCCTCCCCTCCTTCCTTTTATTATAAGAGTGTAAATATATACAGAAGTTGCAAGAATAGTATCATATACTTCCCTGTGACCATCACCAGCTTCAACGTTTTACCAACTCCTGAGAAACTTGTTTCATCTCTCTGACTCACTTCCTCTTCTCCCCAGTTTATTTTGAAGCAAGTCTCAATCCTATCATTTAATCCATAAATATTTCAGAAAGTATCTTTAAAAGAGCAATCTTTTTCTAAACATGATTACAATGCCATTAGTAAAACTAAAAATTAATGATGACTCCTTAATGCTATGAAATAGCCAGCCTTAGTATTGCATAACCATCACTTTCTAGTTACTTGGCATTTCTGAACACCTGGTTTGAGTAAGAATTTCTACAAATGTTATGCTAAAGAGTCACAGGAATGTAGTGAGCCTCAAAAAGTAATTGAAATGATGTCTGCTTAGAGTCTCAATTATTCTCAGTTTTTCAAGACCTCCAGAGGCCAAGAGAACACACCTTACCACTGACATTTGACTTAAATGTTGCTAACGGCAGTTGCAAGTCCACTTGTCCTTATTTCACACTCGCTGAAGGTAGAACCAGCTACTAACTGCCCTCTGAATAATGAATGTCTGAGTTCTTCAAGTTATTCGGTTTCCATTTAGAGCTCCCTTCTTCTGCTGTAAAGAATCCCTGTTTTTAAACTTTTACTCATTTTTTTTTCCAGGAAAGTAGGAGAAGAAAGAGAAAATATTTTTTAGGTGCTACCCAATTTAATCAACATCCAAGTGTGACAGGCGTTTTAGTAGAGAGCTTAAATGACTTTCCCAAAAGTCTTAGTTTCAGATGGCTGCTGTGACAAGTTATCACAAACTTGGTGGCTGAAAGGATGAATAATTTACCTTCTTCCAGTCTGGAGGCCAGAAGTTTGAACTGAATCTTAGGGGTTAAACCTAAGGAGTTGGCAGGGCTGGTTCTGGCTGGAGGCATTGGGGATAGAATCTGGACCTTGCCTCTGCTAGCTTCTCATGGCTGCTGGCACTCCTTGGCTTGTGGCCACATCATTCCAATCTCTGCCTCCACAGTCTCATTTCCTTCTCTTCTGTGTCACACCTCCCTCCACCTCTTTTATAAGGGCACTTGTGATTACATTTAGGCCCACCTGGATAATCCAGGGTACTCTTCCCACATTAAGATCCTCAATTTAATCACATCCTCACAGTCCTTTGTTGATATAATATTCACAGTTTCCAGGGATTACAACATGGATGTTTTCAGGGGCCATTATTCAGCCTACTGCACCAAAGTTACACAACTACAAGGTTTAATGTTAATGGTGTACTAATATATTACAACTTACTCTTTGGGAAAAAGGGATAGTGGACAAAAACATGCCGTTTTGCATCAAACTTAAGTTCTAATCCTAGTTTTGTCTGTGATCATGGGCAAGCACTTTAACCTCTCTGAGCCTCAGTCTTCTCATCTGTGTATGGG
Source organism: Homo sapiens (assembly GCF_000001405.40). NCBI lineage: Eukaryota > Metazoa > Chordata > Mammalia > Primates > Hominidae > Homo > Homo sapiens. Next base: position 17,938,984 of record NC_000002.12, read on the forward strand.
GATATCAACCTTCTCATAGGCTAGTGTAAGGATGAAATTGGCTAATCTCTATAAAGTATCTGGTGCAGTGCCTGGCATATAGTGCACATTCCATAAATGAGCTCCCATATTATAATGCATATGGATATAATGCATATGGATATTATAATGCATATGGGTATAAAGATAATCCTTTGGCTTATCTTATGTGGTACCCATGCAGAACCAGGTATTTTCTGTTTGCAATATATTAATGAAACCAAAAACAATTTGATGTGAAGACATTTACAGTAGTCAATAGAAGGGTAATTTATGAAGTATTATTGTGTGAAAAGACAAAGATGATCATTTTGAATTAAGAAATAAAAATCTAAAATAGAATCACAGAACATATTGGAGCAACTTTTAAGTGAAATTTGTAAAGATTTTTGCAAAACAAAAAATGTCACTGATTGGCAAGGGATTTGAAGATGAGATGGAGCACTGGGTCTGGAGTCAGAATACTTTGAGACAGAGTCTTGCTCTGTCACCTAGGCTGGAGTGCAGTGGCGCCATGTCAGCTCACTGCAACCTCTGCCTCCCAGGTTCAAGTGATTCTTGTGCCTCAGCCTCCCAAAGTAGCTGAGATTACAGGTGCACACCACCACACTGGCTAATTTTTGTATTTTTAGTAGAGATGGGGTTTCACCATGTTGGCCAAGCTGGTCTTGAACTCCTGGCCTCAAGTGATCTGCCTGCCTCAGCCTCCCAAAGTGCTGAGATTACAGATGTGAGCCACTGGACCCAGCCGAGAATACCTGTTTGTGTTCCAGATCTGTTTATTTCTCTCTAGATGGGCTTGGGGAAACTACTTACTTTAGCTTTCTAAGCTTCAGTGTCTTAATGTATGAAAAGGAAAGAACAAGATCATGGCTGTAAGTATGTAAAAATTATTCAAGTATATCCCATAAACACTTCATAGTAAGGAGCCATCAGGGGTCCCTCGTCCCTGATAAGAAAGATAAAGAGGAGAAGCAATTACATGTGTGTCCACGATGGACTTTATTACATCATTAAAAAAATCAGTGAGCAGAACATTTGTTTCTTGAAGCATTGTGTAGCTTTATTTGAAGATAGCTTTCTTTCCAAATGAATCCTGCCAGATACCAGCATGGGTATACATTTTACTGCAAAGTTCCATGGTGCTGTAAGGCCAGCTGTATGAAGCACACACAGAGCTATTTTTCCAGTAGCAATTATCTGATGAAATTGTGCCTTGTTGCAGCAGACAAGCCAGCTATATTCCCATTGGAGTAGGGAGCACGTGCTATGGTATTTATAAACTGTAAAAGCTGTTTGTCAGCATGCACAGCACATGCATTCATCCCTGAGTGCTGGCAAGAAATAGCCTCATTGTCCTCAAGAGCTAATGATGGATTTATAAATTCTGTCAGCAAATCTACTGCTGCAAGGGATTCTCTCTATAGATGATGTTGACTCCAGCACGTGCAGTTTTAATGATGGACTGAATACATTGTAAGGCCCTGGGTCAGACACTTAGCCCATTCTTTTCTGAGCCAACTCCAACAGATTACAGATGCAAAGGAAGAGTCATGGTGCAAGGTGCATGGTGTCATAGAGGAGATGAAACATGGGAAGTCAGCATACTCAGAATCCTCAGCATCATCCTTCACTGCCTAGCAAGAGAAAGATTTCAGAACCATTGCAGACACCATCTTGCTCCATTTCTGGGGTCTGCACAAGCCAAAACTTTAGAATCCTTTCCAGGCTTCTGCTGTTGGCTTTGCTGGGGATGGGTACAGGAATGGTTCATGCTTCCTTACAACCTTTGTCTCCGGGCCAGTCAGACAGCCTAGCAGCCCATAGAAGTGAGCCGTAACCCTCCACAGGGTTCACAGCAGTATACCCAGGCTCTCTTCATTGGCCCTTTCTGCTTCCGTTGGATCAGGTGTAATCTGGTTCTTGACTCTCAGCTTTGGTTTTTATCCACCATCTGCCTCTGCATCTTGGCAAATCATCTCTCTGTTCATTACCCCAGTTACCATTCATACCCTCCGTCTATGTGTTTCTGCATTTTAGAGCATTTTCATGTAAGCCTACCCCAAGACAGCCTCAAGGACATGCCTAAGCCTCAGCTAGCTGAGGTTTAGTCCAACTTCTTGAAAGCCCCGCAGAGAGACCTGGATGTTTCAGGCTGTTGGAGTTCATGACCTCAGGTGACTGACACAGGCCTGATCAGACTCCATTCCAAGTTTCTTAGTAAGAGTTATCAACTCCCACTGGAAGCTTGGGGTCATTTCCACATAAAAATACTGCATGATATATAATAGGATTTTAAATGGACCATGTTTCACTTGCATATTCCTGTAACCTCCAGTATAATTGCCCCTCTTTTAATCAGCCAGCCCCAGTGGCTTCTGGTAGTTTGTCCATAAGGGACTTTGTAGAGTCGTATGGTTATTTGTGATAGCTTCCCAGAGGAATAGGGAAGGACCCTATAGCTTTTATTGTGAGTGATTGATTGCCCTTGAGGATCAGATTATTTATTATGGTTTTGTCTCATATCCAATTTCATTTGTTCAATAAAAATATATTAAAGGCTACTCTATGTTATGGTTCCATTATATTATAAATTTATGCTCTGATATAGTGGTGAAAAAAAAAACAGCTCTTGCTTATAAGATGCTCATAGTCTGATGGGATGGACCTCCAGGGCTGGGGTGCTTAAGGGTAGCAGAAAAGGAGCACAGGCCTTGGAGGTCAGACCTTGGTTCAGAGTCTGGCTTCACCACTTACTTGCTCTGTGACCACGGTCAAGTTACTTAACCTCTCTGAAGCCTCCATTTTCTCAACTGTACAAAGGGGACTAAGGCCCATTTTACGAGGTTGAGATAACGCACATTAAGGACACATTGTAGGTGCTCAAAAAAGGTTACTCTCCTCCTTTTTTTGTTGACTAATATTGCATTCTTGGCTAAGGTTTTATTACATAAAATGAATTGAAACCTTGACATTAGTTTAGTGAATCTGAATAGAGTAGATAGCTGATGATTCAGATTTACAATCACTTGCTCCCCTCTCATTCGTTGCTGATAAACTCATATTGGCATATCAGTATGATATTAAGTTCCACTGCTGCTCTGAGGTCAAGAGCATCCTCTATCCTTGACAGGTTGCTTGTTTAGACCTTTTCCCTCTTCCCCTCATGATCTGTGTGTCATGAGTCAGGAAGAGACCCCTGAGCCTTGGAAGCTTCCTTGAGCAGTTACAGACTTGCTGACATTTATGAGTTAATATTGCCTTATCAAACAATGAAGGATTCTAAAAACAATGTAGGCCCCAAATAACTGCCTCACAAACAAGTATTTTAATGCTGAAGTGATCACCATATTCCATGAAAGTTTTGGCAGGGGTTTCCCTTCTTCACTGAGCACCAGATGTCTACAATGCAATTGCACAGGTTTGTCCTCGGACAAGCACCCATCATTTCTGATGGTTAAATGTTTCAATCCATCTCAAGAAACTGCCTGCAATCAGCAGATCTAATAAAGCTGGAGTTTTAAAAGTAGTTTGGACCCATTGGAATAGACACTGTGCAATAATAATATTACATATATGCTTGACATTGTTGTAAGTGCTTTATCTAAATTATTTAATTCTTGCAACAAGACCATGAGGTAAGTGCTGTTATTGTCCTCATTTTACCAAGGAGACTGAAGAACCAAGGGGTTTATAAACCATCCCCCAACAAGGAGACTGAAGAACCAAGGGGGTTATAAAACGTGCCCAAAGTCATGCAGCTAGGAACTGGGGAGCTAGGAATTGAACCCAGGCAGTTTGAGCTCAGAATTCATGCTGTCAACCTGTACTACAGTATACAAACTCAATACTAGTTTTTTAAAAACTAGTTTTATTTTATTTTTAATTGACAAATAATAATTGAATATTCAATACTAATGTAAGTCATTGACTAATGGTCATTTAGAGATTCAATTGAAAAGATTTTGATTATCTCAAGAGGCTGAGTTTTTGATGTTTACCAGTAGTATGGCCCCAAATTTGTAAGCTGAGAATTGATTACTCATTATTTCTTGACATTCCTGTTATTACTGAGACCCTGCTTTGTGGTAAGAACTTTCTTGGCTACTGGTGAGAAGAGTGGGGAATTATTATTAAACATGATCTTGTCAAGAACTGTGAAAGATCTGAAGTTTTCCCTACTTGTATGGTTGCAAGTTAGTCTGCTACAGATTCATGGAAGCTGGGAAAGGCACATGGTTTCTGGGTTGTAATAAACAACAGGCACTTCATTACAGCAACAGCAGTAACCAGAGTATTGGCATTGATGCTTGTTCTCTGAGCCTCAGTTTCCAGCTCATTCCAAAAGAAATTTGGCGTGGTTACAGAATTGATCAGGACTCTCTGGAATAGAGGTGACAGAAACAAGAAGATAAGAATGAATTAGGGCTGGGCAGGGTAGCTCATGCCTGTAATCCCAGCACTTCGGGAGGCCAAGGCGGGTGGATCACTTGAGATCAGGAGTTTGAGACCAGCCTCACCAAAATGGTGAAACCCCATCTCTACCAAAAAAGCAAAAATTAGCTTGGAATGGTGGCACGTGCCTGTAATCCCAGCTACTCAGGAGGCTGGGGTGGAAGAATCACTTGAACTCGAGAGGTGAAGGGTGCAGTGAGCTGGAGATTGCATCACTGCACTCCAGCCTTTGTGACAGAGTGAGACTCTATCTCAAAAAAAAAAAAAAAAAAAAAAAAAAGATGAGAAAAAATGTGGCAAATGTGAAATAAGTTGGAAAATATGCATAGCTATCCATTTCAAAATATATATTATTTAACTACTTGTGCTCTGACTTGTTTTAGGAGGGTTTTTAAAGTAATTTCAAAGATATGTCCATCTAACATGACAAAATGAAAATAACTGGAATATAGGCATTTTTGTGCTGACTGCTTCCCCAAAGGACTTTGTTAAACTTAGGAATTGAAAAACAAATGGCAGGAAATTAATAGTAAAACAAACAAACAAACAAACAAAAAAACCAAAAAGGAATTCACAGAAGAAAAACTGGATAGAGCCCCAAATTCTAAATGTGTGGTTTCCATGCACAGTGACTGGCCTTAGGATCTATCCTGGGATCTGTCTTGACCCTTTGTCTCACATGCATGAAAACTGAGGGCAAACTTGAAACACCCGAGCACAGTCTTCTGCAATCACCCCAGCTTTGCCTACTTTGCTTATGAGCAGGTCCTCTTCTGCCTCTGCCCTGACTCTCAACTTTGACTCCTCTTTTTAGTTCTGCTCCTGCGCTGTGGTTTCTGCATTGGACACTGTCCTCCCATGGTGACCTCAGCAAAGCGTTTCTCAGGATGTTGGCTCAGGGCTGCTCTAGCGCTTTTCCTGACTGCCACAACCTGTGTGCATGGAACCCAAATCCCCATATGGACAGGTACTGTCTGGGTTAATGGGACACACTGCACCAATTGTTGGCCCCACACCCACAGCAGTTGACTACTTTGCTCGGTTGTTTCTTTTGCATAAGTGTCTTTTTCACCCAATTGGCTACCTGTCAATGTGGAGCCTGGGCTTTCTGTCCTTCATGTCTTCTCTGACTGTGTATCGGACTACTTTATGCGTGTTTGATGGTTTCAAGAAGTTGCCAGCTGGCTTCTTAATTTGTTGATAGGACACTGTGCTAGCACACCCAGGGACAGTCATTTTATAAAATAGTCTCAGTTTTCTGATAAATAAAATATTTAAATGCAGGAGGGTTTACTTCTCAGCTGTAAAATAACAACAACATCAATGGCACAAGCAATAACAGCGACCATATCATCTTCAAGTTTTGAGCATTCCCGTGGTAGACACTTTGCTCATTCTCAAAAAATCCCATGAGTAAAGAACAATTTTTAGCACCATTCTATAGAGAATAGATTCAGATACAGAGAGTTTAGGTGATTTTCCCCAAGTCAAATGAGTAAGTTAAGTAGGATTAAACCTGAGTCTTCCTGACTTCAAAGACCAGATTTCCCCACACTGCTACCTCTGGTTTATTCAGTGGCATCCATGATGGCCAAGGGACAGCTGCCAGGAAAAATCAGGGGGATCTCATTTGGGGTCACCATGTGACAAACACCTCAATCTCTCAACACTTTTCACCTCCAAATAGCTAATGAGGTAAGTCCTTATTCAAAATGGAAGCTTTTTGTAAACAAATTGTTTAATCTTAGTTATCACCCCATACCACCACCAATTCACTTAACAAAGTCATTTGTAAGTCTATCAGCTTTGTTCTGAAAAACAAAAACAAAACAGCTGATTAAACTCGTGAGCATGGCATTAAAAAACAAATAAAATGGAAGCTTTTGCTGCAACACTAGTCATAATCCGTAGCAATTTACTTATACCATCACCTATTTTGCGTTGTTTCTAGCCTGGGAAAAGAAAGTCTTTCTCAAAGCCAGCCTCATCACTTATTTCTATCCATTGTTTATTCATTTGTCATTCATTCACTCAATATTTATTGATCATCTCCTGGGTGCCAGATGCAGTGCCAGGCTCTGGAAATTAACAGTGGTTTGTCCTTTCATGCCAATCTTTCCACCATCTTCAGATCTTCCTTGTGTCTACCATCCCCTTTCCTGTCACTTGTACCCACTCCCTCTTTTGCTGGTTTGTTCCAACTCAGCCTATAAAAATGCCGAAATCATTTCCATCCTCTTCCACTCCCTTCTTCTTATCACCTTCCTTCTGCTCTTCTAAGCCAAGCTTCCAAAGAATTCCCTATAATTACAGCTTCCCCTTCCTGTCTGCACATTCACTCTCAATCCCCATAGTCTGAAACTGCCCTTACCAAAGTCACTCCATTGAACACATCTGCATCCACACCATCCTGGGCCTCTCAGCCACCTTGGACAGTATTGACCCTTTCCTCCTTCTGGAAGTGATTCCTTGGTGTCTTTGACCTTATTCTCTGGACCTTTGTAATCCTGAACATTCTGTCTCTGTCTTCCTAAAGGCTTGTTCAGTCTTCACCCAGAACGGAAGTATGGGCTCTTTGCAAGCTTCCCTCTGGTCTACTGCTTTTCTTTCTCTGCTCTTTTTTTTGTTGTTATTGTGCAATTGTATCCACTCATGTAACAGTGGCAGACGGGCATTTATATTTCAGTTTTTGCCTGTTCCCCTGAGCTTCAGATAGACAAAAAAGTCCTGTGGAACCCCACCACTGGGATGTTCCACAACAAGTCGTAAACTGAGCTCATCATCTTCCCGAGATGGTGATCCTATGGTCTTGTCTGTTTCAGGGGATGGCAGCACATCCACCCTGTCACTCCAGTCAGATGCCCAGAAGCCACTTCTCAAGTCAGGGTTTTCCTTCCCTTGCTTCCCTTCCTTCCCTTTCCCTCCCCTTCCCCTCTCCCCTCCCCTCCCCTCCCTTCCTCTCCCCTTCCCCCTTCCCTCCCCCTCCCTCCCTTCCTTCCTCCCTTCCTCCCTCCCTCCCTCCCTCCCTCCCTCCCTCCCTCCCTTCCTTCCTTCCTTCCTTCCTTCCTCCCTCCCTCCCTCCCTTCCTTCCTTCCTTCCTCCCTCCCTCCCTCCCTCCCTCCCTCCCTCCCTCCCTTCCTCCCTCCCTCCCTCCCTCCCTCCCTCCCTCCCTCCCTCCCTTCCTCCCTCCCTCCCTCCCTCCCTCCCTCCCTCCCTTCCTCCCTCCCTCCCTCCCTCCCTCCCTCCCTTCCTTCCTTCCTTCCTTCCTTCCTTCCTTCCTTCCTCCCTCCCTCCCTTCCTCCTCCCTCCCTCTCCTTCCTTCCCTCCCTCTCTCCCTCTCTTTCCTTCCCTCCCTCTCTCCCTCTCCTTCCCTCTCTCCTTCCCTTCCCTTCCCTTCCCTTCCCTTCCCTTCCCTTCCCTTCCCTTCCCTCCCCTTCCTTTCTCTTGTCTTGTACCAGTTAGTGGGAAAATAAAAGTAAGTAATAAAACAAAGTCCCAGCCTTTGCTCTTATCAATTTATACTGTAATGGGAAAGACTGACTTTGATCAAAGAACTGCAAAAATAAATGGAACATTTTATTTATGATCAGGGTTGGTATAAGAATATGCAATAAGAATTCTTCCCATAGGAACTGAGATTCAAATTGAGATTGAAGGAAGAATATGAGTTAACTAGTTAAAGGACAGATGATGGTATGTTCTCAGCAGAGGAAATAACACATCCAAAAGCCCTGGGAAGAGGAAGCTGGGGCACTGACGGAACAGAGACAAGGCTGGAGTAGCTCTACAGGCAACAGTGGGGCCTGAGTGAGGCTGGGAGATGACTAGGCAGACTATGCAGGCACTGGTGGGTCACGTGACAAGTTCTTGTCTATATCCTACATGTATAAGGGCAGTTGTTCAAGGGTTATAAGCATAAAGATGATATGATCAATTTTAATTTTGTCTTAAAATGTGGAGAATGGAGAAGAGGGGAGAACGCATGGCTGTGTAGGTGCTAGTTAAGAGGCATGAGATGATGGTGGCTTATTAGTATGGCTGCCAAGGATAGAAAACTAGAGGTCACTTTACAAAAAGTCTATCAGTTTCATTTAGAATAACTCAATTTGCCTCTCGGAGGAGAATAATGTAAGTGTTCAGACTTGAGGTTCAATTATGTGAGCTCTGTTCCTTCCTAAGTGCAAGAGATTTCATTAAATAATTTAACTTGAGTCCTCCTGAAGAAGTGTCTTTGCTGCCCCATAAGGCCATTTCTGTAGTTATTCTTCCAACAAAACATGGGTCAGTTGCACTGCATAAGCCAGGAGGCTGAAGTCACCTATCAGCAGTGCCCCAGAGCTCTGTTTAGAAAAAGTTACAGCAGCATCTCCCTCCAGGCAGCCAAGGAAGGCACTCCAGATAGCACCAGCAACACGCAAATGGTGGTGGCCCTTTCCCTCTTTGGTCTAGCATGACACAGCTGTCGCATTTGTGCTGAGGCTGTGACACCAGCATCCCACTGGGGTCATGTGCAGCTTACGTTAAATGAGGACATTTTAACTGCCAACTGGAGTAGTGTATGTGTATATGTATGTGTGTATGTATTTCTACTCATTAAGCTTTAGAAATAAAATATGGAATGAGGCTGGAATTGGAATGGGATATGCATCTTGCATTTTCCCAGTGGCACCCTCTTCCTCCCAGTTATAGGGATATGGTAAGAGCTCAGTAAATATTTGTTGAACGACTATGCAATCTATTTGCCACAATTCTAGGAAGCTGCATTTTGCACTAAAATCAGAGCAGCAAGTAGATGACCAATGGACTTAGGGCATGCTGGGGAAAATCCTAATCACATGTAAGGATTTGGAGGAAATGGCTTGGGTGCATGGGCAAGGGGGGTGCATCACACAGAGAAGGGAAGAAAATTGGAGAGTATTTGGCAATGAAGACACTGCATGGAGAGTGAGAGGTGGAATAGCTGCTTTATCTTATCAAATTTTGGGGAAAAGGGATATGTCCAAAAAAGACTTTCAAGAAATTTTGCCATGAGTCCTATGGGAATAACTTCTCTTTAAGTTCCTTCAAAAACCTACTATAGTTCTATATTGGCCTTCAAGGTCCTTGGAGTTAGATTTGTGTCTTTATTACATGAATCAAGAGGCAGAGGCAGCCTCAAGGAAACCCAGACATTTCAGTTTACAAATAATTGGAAGTGTCTGGACTGCCTCACTGCTCTGTGTTTCTGGTGGGATTTTGGGATTGGCACTGAGCTTCATCAATATTGATCAGTGGAGTGACTTTAAACAAATATATACATTGGCTCATTCTGAGCTCTCAAAAAATCATAGGTTGTCAGAATTGGAAGGCATCTTGGAAATCACTTAGCATTTTACAGACGAAGAAGTTGAGATCACAATGGAATGTTAATAATATCACACAACTTCGGTTTAATAGCCTTAATGGAGTTGAACAAGAAACTCTGTGTCTGTTAAGACTCTTTTGGTTGCAAACAACAAAAACTGCTTCTAGCTAACTTAAAAAAAAGGGAAGATTTAGTAGAAAACACAGGAGAGACTCACAGATCCAAGGAAGTGCAGAACACCAAGCTGTGGGAGGACAGGACAAGGCAGACGTTGAGGTCTTTTCCTCAGGGTACACCCACTGATTGCCTTCAGTGGCTGGGTTTTTGGACTCATAGTAATCATGCAGTTCTTTAAAAATAGTTTTTTCTCCTTTTTAAAATCTTCAACTGGAAGCATTTTAAAGAATCGAAAATGCTACAATGATTCTTATCTGTTCAAAACAGAACTTTTTTGATGACAAAGATAGTTTTTGCCACTTTGTGGATTAAATATATTAAGAACTTTATGGACTAAATGTTTGTGTCCCACCAAAATTCATATGTTGGAGCTCTAACCCTCAATACAATGGTAGTTGGAGATGAGGCCTTTGGGAGGGAATTAGGGTTAAATAAGGTCACGAAGGTGGGATCCTCATGACCGCATTAGTGTCTTCACAAGAAGAGAGACTTCCGAGAGCATTCTCTTTCTTTCTCTGTGCCGTGAGAGGACTCAGAGAGAAGGTGGCCATCTGTAACAAGGAAGAAAGCTCTCATCAGGAACAGAATGTGCTGCACCATGTTCTTGGACTTCTTGGGGAAAAGGGATATCTTCAAAAAAGACTTTCAAGAAATCTTGCCATGGGTCCTATGGGAGTAATTTCTCTTTAAGTTCCTTCAAAAGCCTACTATAATCCTACATTGTTCTTCAAGGTCCTTGTGATTAGATTTGTGTCTTTATTACATGAGTGGAGGGGCAGAGGCAGCCTCAAGGGAACCCAGACATTTCAGTTTACAAATAATTGGCAGTGTCTGGACTGCCTCACTGCTCTGTGTTTCTGGTGGGATTTTGGGATTGGCACTGAGCTTCACTGATATTGCAGGCTGTGGGTGGAATGATCAGTAGGAATCCACCCACAGCCTGCAGTATGGGTGTGGGTGGAATGATCAGAACTATGAGAAATAAATTTCTGAAATTGGTTATGTGAAAGGGGCACTCTGGTCAATTTAGTGGTTAAACTGCAGGCCCACTGATGCTAAGGGAGTTAAGGAACTAGTACTCAGGCTCTCATCCAAGTGGCTGAGGGACTTGCTAGTTCTCTGACCTGAGTTTTGCTCACTCCTTGCTTGCTCAGCAGGACGACAATTTACACCTGGGGACGATGTCGATTTTCTGGTCTCTGTGATCAGTTGGGCCAGCAGGTGTGATCGAGTGTGCAGTGTGTCTACACTCGACCTATCAGCCCTTCAGAGGGACAGAAGCTTCTCAGCTGGATCCTCCCTGCAGGTGCTGGGCCACAGAGGAGGCAGGCAGTGCAGCACGGAGTCCTTCCCACTTTCATCTTGGGGGCTGTGCCTCTGCTATGATTCCCCTGAACTTTTTAATATATTTTTTAAATTTTTTATTGATACCTAACAGATATAAATATTTTGGGGCTACATGTGATATTTTGATATTTATATAGTGTGTAAAAACAGACTCTCCACTGAACTTCTACATTAGCTTCATAATTTGTCTATCTGCCTCTGGCTTCTCCCCAGTCAATGCAATTGTTAATACTGTCATATCCTTTATGTCTTCCTGATCATGTTGGGTTTTTTTAAAGTGAGAATTAAAAAAAAAACACTTTAATTGTGGTAAAATAGAGATAACATAACATTTGCCATCTTAATCATTTTTAAGTGTTATAAGTTTAGTGATGTTGAGCATATAGTAAGTCCTTACTTAATGTCCTTGGTAGGTTCTTGGAAACTGACTTTAGTAAAAGACAGGCTCTTAGACACTGCGACTTTAAGCAAAAGACATACAGAAGGTCCTCAAATAATGTCGTTTCCTTCAACATCCTTAAAACAGGGATAAGGAAAAAATGGCTTTGTTATACATAGTTTCCCTTAAAGTTGCAGTTCCCAAGAACCTATTGATGAGGTTAAGCGAGGACTTCTCTATTCACATTGTTGTGCAACCAATCTCCAGAACTGTTTCCATCTTGTGAAGCTGAAACTGTGACCATTCAACAACTCCCAATTCCTTCTGCCTTCAGCTCCAGACAATCACCATTCCATTCTCTAATTTTGATTACTCTCAGTACCTCATAGGAATGGAATAATGACTACAGTATTTATCTTTTAGTGATTGGCTTCTTTCACTTAGCATAATGTCTTCAAGGTTGATGCATATGTTATGGCATGTGTCATGAATTCCTTCTCTTTTAAGGCTCACTAATATTCCGTTGTGTGGATGTGCCGTATTTTGTTTATCCATCATCTGTCGATGGACTTGGGTTGCCTCTGATTTTTGGCTATTATGAATAATGCTGCTATTCACATGAGTGTACATGCCAACAGTGTAATTTTTTTGCGTTAAGTCATATCTCCTGGGCTCACCCCTACCTTTCTTGCATCTAGGGAGCAACATCATGGTAGATTTCCCTACAGATTTCCATCCAGAGGGACCAGAGGAGTTTCTGTTCCACAGGGACATTCCATGTAGTTTCACCTGCACTGTTTATCCCATTTCCTGCAACTCACCACCATTTTTTTCAAGGGGAGTCTGTGAATTGTTTCCCAGAGTTTTGCTTCTCGACTTTCTCCCCCTTGTTCACTTCTGGGGGAATCGAGCGGGATCCTGAGTGTGTAATGAAGGGAAAAGCTGCCTAAGATTCTCTCATAAGGAAAACAGTCAGAGCAACAGAAGAACTACTCAGCAAAGGAGGCCCTAGTGGCTTCTGAGTGGGGGAGTCAAGGTAGATAAGGGAGGTATGAAACTTCTGGCTCCTTCAGCTCTCTTGGATTGGAGAAACGTGACCAATTGTTAGGAAAGGCAGGCCCAGGAATGTGCATGGGCTGGGCATCAGAATGACTTGCTGTATACATATGAAGAAAGAAGGGACTAGGAGAGGGGAGTGTTGGGGTGTGGGACCTGCATGCATGTGGGGTGGGGGAAGAGGAAACAGTATCTGAAGCTATTTTTGGGAAGTTTTGTGGGTGCTCAGATGTGTAAAGAAGATGCTCTTCTCCCCTCTTAAAGACCTGCATTTTTCCTTAATGCCACTGTGATCCACTTTACATTTCCTTTGACTGTGACTCCATGCAGAGGCTGGTCCACGTGAGGTTCTCCAGGGATTATTGAAGTTCAATGTTGATTCTTTGGTTACCTGTCTTTGATCAACATTTCCTTAGTTTGAGTTTTGTTGGTTGTTTCTTGTTTTTGCTCTTAGATTTAGAGTGAAGGTAGTTTGTGACTGGGTGCAGTGGCTCATTCCTATAATCCCAGCAGTTTGGGAGGCTGAGGTGAGCAGATTGCTTGAGGTCAGGAGTTCAAGACCAGCCTGGCCACCATGGTGAAACCCCATCTCTACTAAAAAAAGGCAAAAATTAGCTGGGTGTGGTGGTGCCTCCCAGCTACTCATGAGGCTGAGGCTCAAGAATTGCTTGGACCCTGGAGGTGGAGGCTGCAGTGAGCCGAGATTGTGCCACTGTACTCTAGCCTGGGTGACAGAGCAAGACTCCGCCTCAAAACAAACAAACAAACCAAAAACCCAAAACAAAAGAGTGAGGGTAGTTTGTGATTTTATGTCTAAAATGTCATCCTTCTCTAGGACCCAGGAAAAGTGAAATGAGATCTTCAGAGAAATACAAACAAGAGGAAGGCAATTTTGTTCTTTATATAGGAATTCAAGTTTCACAAGGGGGAAAAATGTTTCCTTGAATAATATGCTGAGATACCTTGAAATGTGATTTCACTCAGTTTTTTCCTATATTCCGTGTTATAAACACATGACTATTTCTTCTAATTATAAAGTATAATATTTTCTGTACTGTATTTTTATAAGCAGTTAGCTTGAGAAACATTTCCTTACTGTTGGCCTGGTATTTGAGATCACATATACCAAATGCTACTAAAGGAAATCTATTCTCATTGGCAGAGAAACCCTGTAAGACTTGGGAGAAGGATTTAGGATACAGAACTGGAATGAACCCCGGGGTTCCCACATTTTTCTGTGCCCTTAACTGCTGCCTTCTGCACCACATGTTCTCTCTGTGCAATGCTCCCTTCACAAAAGCCACAAGGCATTTTCTCTGCTCTTTTGAAAGAGGTATCTGTGGATCAAACCTTGGCAATCACTTACCTGGATTCTACCATGAATTCCCATTAGTATGTCCTTTGAGATACAAAAGATTCCCTTCACTAGCTTCCTGGCCTCCATGTCTAGCCATCATTTTGAACTATTTGTTTGATTTCAGGGCTGACTGGTCACCGGAAATGTTGTTTCCATTAAAGCAAGTAATTTCAAGCTTGCAACATTTAATAATTATTGAATTCTTCCATTCAGAAAAATCTCCCTAGGATACAACTATTAGATCAGGAGAAGGCAGCTTTAGAAAAGCTGACATCTATAAAGCCATGCATTTGTGGGAGTCAGGCCATCTTATGAAAAAGTTTAGACAGGCATATAAATGCTTTCTCACTTGGTGAGGAATCTGACTTCAGCCCCCTCATTCTGTTTGACAGTTATATGTGTTTAGTTATCGTTAGTAGCCTTGGTGGAACTTTGAGATTACTTTGTTTTCTACTAATGCCCAATAAGTTTTGGAGATGTTTCCCCTGTCAATTTTATCCCTATATCAGATAGACTGATAAAGGGTGGTAAATGTTACTTTATTTCATTATTTCCTTGCCCCCATACGTACACTTACTAAGTATTTTATTTAGATAATTGTAGGCCACATGTTAGTCATCCATTACATCCTTCCTTTGATTTCTTCCTTCTACTATTCATGATTGAGTAACAGTAAGAATCTCTTTTGTTATTGAATATTTGACTGACTAACAAACTTTATTGAGCAATACAGTCATTGTAGATTTTGCATCCCCATGCATGTTTTCTTTTCGCCAGTTCTTTTGGTGGACAAGACCATGTCTCTTTTATCTTTCTTTTGGAAAACCAATTCATAGGCTCTGCTGGGGCTAATACTTCCACTTGTCAGTCACAGGAGACTGCAATGATCAAGGCTCTTGAGTCTGCTACGATTTGAATGTGTCCCCCCAGTTTCATGTGTTGGAAACTTAATCGCCAAATTCATATGTTGATGGTGTATGGAGGTGGGATTTTGGAGAGGTAATTAGGATTAGATAAAGTCATCAGGGTAGGCCCCCATGATGGGGATTGGTGGCTTTATAAGAAGAGGAAGAGAGACTTGAGCTGACATGCTCTTACTCCCTCGCCATGTGTTGCCTTCTGCCATATTAAGATGCAGTCAGAAGACCCTCACCAGATGTGACCCCTTGACCTTGGATATCCTACCTAGTCTTCGGGGCTGTAAAATATATATACATATATTTTAAATAAATCACCCAGTCAGTGGTATGCTGTTACAGCAACAGAAAATTGACTAAGATAGAGTCTTTTCCGAGCCTTTTGCAAAGACAAACAGGAGAGAGGCAGAGTTCTTTTTCTTCCTAGGATCATTGGTTGTAACGATGACATAAGCTGAAATTGCTGGTTGCCACCATGTGGGGAAAGTGTGCCTGAGAATAAATCAAGACAGAAAAGCGAAGCTGAGAGGTGGAGAATAGGGATTTTCTTAATGCCATCATTGAACCCTTTCATCTTGACACACGTAAGTCAGCTGTATCCCTTGCATTTTCAGCTATGTGGGAAATACATTCCATCTTTTGTATACACTAGCATGAGGTGGGTTTCTGTCATTTGCAATTGAAAGTGTCCTGAGAGATATAACTTCTAGTCATTTTATCCATGAAAATTTCTCTTTATTTGGTTTGATCACCTGTGTAATTTACTTCTGTATCCTTTGACACCAGCTAGTCCTGCGGTCTGCAGAGAGTGGACAATGGATACCTCCTTTGCATGTGGGGGAAGTAAGCAGGTGATTTTCAGAGAGATGAGGAAGTCTCCTAACATGGTCACCAGACAAAATACAGAATTCCCAGTTAAAGTTGAATTTCAGATAACTAAAAATATTTTAGTATAATTTTTATGTCCTATGTAATATGTGGGACATATGTATACCAAAAAATTTATTGCTTATCTGAAATTCTAATTTAAGTGTCTTGTATTTATTCATCTAATTTAGGCTCATCAAATAACCATATTTTAAGAATGCACTTAAAATAGTATTGTGAGGTTCCTAAATTTAGGAGAGCATCTTCCCTGAGTAATTTTTTATACATAGAGTCTAAAATTCAGATTTAACTGGGCTTTCTGTATTTTGATTTGCTGAATCTGGCAACCATATCCTCTATCCACTCCAGTTGTTTTTCTGATCCAGACATGGTATCTAAATTGTAGTCTCTAAGAGCCATCCTGTTTGCCAGCTTCATGGGTCAAAGGAGAAATGTCTGGGTTTGGGCCTCTTTGATGAGCACCCTTTGCACCAGATACGGGTATTTGTAGGTGAGGGACACTACAGAAAGCAGGGCAATTCCATGGCTGTGTGAGAGGAGAAGGGAACTCAGGAGAATTAACATTTACTGAGGATCTCTTGCTTGTCAGTCACTAAGGAGAAGCTTTGTGTCCATTGACTCATTTAATCATTATGACGGGTCTGTGAAATAGATTTTATCTATGCCCATTTGAAAAATAAGGAAACTGAGACTCAGAGAGTTGAAGTAATTAGCCCAAAAAGATATAGCTAGGAAATAGTACCAGGTTCATCTGATTTTCAGCCCATGCTCTTTCTACAGGTTCAGTTTTCTGGGTAGAGAACAGCCCCTGGTGTCTGTGAGCAGAGTGGGATGTTGCCAGGGCACTGAGAAAGAGCCAGCAGAGGGACAGTGGCTGCCTATGTCTGTAGCCTTTGTACCAGAGACTCTGTGACCTTCATTCTCTGCCTGCACCTAGCTGAGTGGATGGACATTTTGACCAAGGTTGTCTTTTGTGCCTTTCCTTGGGATAGCTAATAAAGCAAATTGGATGGGCCTCAAACAAATGGAAAATGTTCAAGATCACTCATCATGAGAGAAATGGAAATTAAAATACCACAAGATACCATTTCTCACCTATCAGATTAGCAAAGATTAAAAGTCTAATAATACAACCTGTTAGCAAGACTGTATAGAAACAGGTGCTATCACACAGTTGCTAGTGGGCGCACAAACTGGTTTCACTCATCTGGAGGAGAATCTGGCAATAAACCCTTCAGACTATCTATGCAGTTACCTTTTGATCCAGCAGTCTCACTTCTAGGAATCTACCCTGAGCTATTTCAATATTAGGAAAATGCATATGCACCAGTTTCTTCACTGCAACATTGTTTGCAATTGCAAAATATTAGTCTGTAGTCCAGTTAACAGCATTGTAGCAACATTGATTTCCTGGGTTTATAATTTTAATATGGTTATGTAAGATGTTAACATTAGCGCAAGCTGGGCAAAATGTACTATTTTGTAGAATTTTACCACTTTTCTGTAAGTTTAAATTATGTTGAGCTAAGAGTTCAAACAAAAACAATGACATAATTAACAAAGCTATTTTCTCATCACCTGATGTGGGGCATGAAGACTGGGCTGGATTAACAGTGAATGGTCACAACTGCCCAAGTCTGTCCTCTTTGGTCTAGCATATTCTGGAGAATGGGGTAGGGCTGGCCAACACTGGATTGTCAGAAATCTCAGCCACGGGAAAAGGGAGTGGAGGGGTACAGATAGTCACAGCTACATCCTTACTTCACTGAGCAGTGCATTCTTGTATGTGAAAACTTGTCCAGACAGCTGGTGTCCACTGTTCAAATTGGGTCTATGAAGGATGTCCTTGGAAACCGTTCCATTACTTTAAAGTTTCATTTCATGTGTGTGAGAGATTTACTGTCTTTTCCCAAATCACTGGTTATTTGGATTGTATATTCAAACACCTTGAACTATGTGACCTTTCTCTTTATGTGGTATTTTCAATTCTACAAATAGAAAAGCTATGAAATGCTTAAGATGAGGAATCAGTTCTGTCTCCTAAACGACTTGCTCAAAATTGCAAGTTTCCCATTTTTAAAAGATTGTAAAGTTGACAAATGCATCAGAGTGTCCTTAGTCAAAATGACTTAGGTGTCTCCTAACAGTTTTATCGTTTCTAATTTACACTTTATAGGAAAACACAGATTAGCTGCTTGTTATTTGCCATTCTAAATTATTTTACCAGAGCATGGGTTTCAGTGATACCTCACCAAAATATGAAACCCTTGATCCAGTGGAGATAGAATGAATTAATGGGTGTTTGGGGAATGTTTTAACCATGCAGTGTCCTGTGCACTCTACTGACAGCTTCCTGGGGTCAACTCAGGGGCAGGGTGGGTTCAGTCAAGGAGTTCCTCCTTGCAGTGTGGTGGTGCATCTGCCTCGAACACCTGCGTGAGATGGAGTCCATGATAAGGCTGATAATTCACTTAATTGCCCCAGTAACCCTGTTAAGGCTCAGAGACATGCAGTGTCTTTCCCAAGTCACAAAGCTAATAAATAGTGGAGCTGGAGTTTGAGTCTGCCTTGCTCCAAGTCCAGAGTACCTTTTACTGAGCACACTACCCAGGTGAGAGAGACTACTTCGGCCAACTCTGACACTTTGCTGAGGCCGGGCTCTGCCTATGCTTGGGGTGACAATAGCAGGTGCCCTCCTTTCTGTCAGTGCATGCACCTCATCTCTAAAAGCTGGAGCTGCTTTCCGTCATTCCCTCTCAAGCTCTACAGTGCTTTCCTATGCATAGAAATCATTGTGAAAGAAACCTCATCTAGCCGGGCGCAGTGGCTCATGCCTGTAAAATCCCAGCACTTTGGGAGGCCGAGGCGAGCGGATCATGAGGTCAGGAGATCGAGACCATCCTGGCTAACACAGTGAAACCCCATCTCTACTAAAAATATACAAAAAAAATAGCCAGGCGTAGTGGCGGGCACCTGTAGTTCCAGCTGCAAGGGAGGCTGAGGCAGGAGAATGGAGTGAACCCGGGAGGCAGAGGTTGCAGTGAGCCGAGATCGCGCCACTGCACTCTAGCCTGGGGGACAGAGCGAGACTCTGTCTCAAAAAAAAAAAAAAAAAAAAAGCCTCATCTGCCAGCTCTTATAAGCTTGGTCTCTGCAGGTAGCCTCACAGCAAACCCAGCCTCCTCACCTTTCCAACTAAGAACCCCATGACCCTGAGGGTGGGAAATGCCAAGTATTTTCCTCCCCGCTTTTTTTTTTTGAGGGAAGTTTCAATTTGTGTTTTGAAAAGAGCACGGTCTTGGAGTCACACCAGAGTGTGTATTCAGTCTCACTGCTGAGTCTCTGTGGATAAGAGGATTCACCTCTTCATACCGCGTTTTTTTTTTTTTAATAAAGAAAGCGGGGATGGCCGTACCTTTCTTAGAACTATTGTGAGGATTTAATGACATAACAGAAACAGCATCTAGCATGTAGTAGGCATTGAATAAGTGGCTGTTATTATTTTGACAAGCACTGCTAATTCTCAACATAACATTTTCCCCATATATCCCCTCTATAGGGCTCAGTCTATTTCTAACGAAGAAGAACAGAGTTGCAAAACATGCTGCCTTTTAGAATCACTTTTATTTCTAGAGGACAGAAACTCTGCCAAGGAGGAAAATGGAAGTTATCCCAGGCTTTTGTGTGGGTTTTATTTGTATGCAAAAGCTAGCAAGTCTTATTTGTTCAGAAGATGAATTTCATTCTAATGATGCCAAAGAATCTTCTAAAATTTCATAATTGCCATTCCTAGTGTGCTCCAAGCTGAAAGACAACAAAAGAATTAGGTGGCCAGTTCAGATTGGATTTGAGGAGGGATGTGCATTTGAAAATGCTTCAGCTGCTCCTGCATCATCCTAGTCTACTGAGACGTGCAGATGAGTTACACCGAGGAGTCAGCAGCATCAGCCCAGTGTTGCCCAGCCAGGGTACTGGGGATGGTGAGAGGATGTGGGTCAGGCCTGAGGAGGTACCTAGCTTGAGTGCCCTGGCCACTCTCCTAGATCTGCCTTTTGTTACCTATACATGCAAATGCGTGGAGCACTTGACAACCTGCCAAGCATTTTTTTTACACTTTTTGTCTCATGTAACTCTCTTAAAAATCCTTGAAAACAGATATGGCCAATGTTATTATCCTACCTTATAGATGAGGAAACTGAGATTCAGAAGTCCCAAACACACAGCTGGTAAAAGGCAGAGTCTGGAGTTGAATTCATGGCACCCAACTCTAAAAATACTCATCTTCCCTCTAGATTTATATGCCTATTATGGTACAATATAATTATCCAAGTTTGGATTAGTGATGCTCTTTTTTTTTTTTTTTAGGCAGTCATGTAATACTGTGTAAATCACCAAAGCCTAAGGTTTTTACTCTGGGGATTTGGCACAATGATGATAACTGGGTACATTCTAGGGATTCAGCCTCCATCATCACAGACAGTAAAAGTCTCAGGGGGTGTGGCAGGGCCCTCTGCATTTCCTCCTCTGCCATTCTTTTTCTTCTTCTTCTTCTGTGTGGAACCACACAGAACTAACAATCATGGAGTGTAAGCTGAGACAGAAGAAGAGAAGATGATCCCGACCCAGAGGCTCTACAGTGGGAGGAGCTGGGTCGTGGGAGGGAGGCTCCTGCCTTCTGCGGAAGTCTTTAGTTCTTGAACAATGCAGAGATCACTTTTCAATATCCAAAGCAGTTTGCATGGTGTTTCTCAATTTCAGCAGTGTACAAGCCACTTTTAAAGAAAAAAATCATTCTTGAGGATCTCTAGGACACTTACATTGTTTTTATTTTAGTTACTTGAATACATAAAACATGAAAATTGTTGTAAATTTTTAAGCTTATAGCTCTTATGCAACAATAAAATGAGATTAAACAAGATATTGTTTAATTTCTGATGATCTAAAACAATTAATGAAAGGATATTCTGAGTTGCTTGCTCCCAAATTTCAGTGCCCTCATGTGAGGCAGAGTTATGAATGAATGCAAACAAGGGTCCAGTAATGTTTTCAGTAATGTTTTGGCACAGTTACTCAAACAGAGAATAACTGAGAGAATTCAGTTCCCACATGGCGCCAGGTGGTAAATGCATCGGATCGACGTCAGGGCATATCTGTTCTAGAGTCACTGAGAGGGGCCTGTGACTGATGATGAAGGAGAAATGATCAGTCTATAAATACCTGTCGGTTGCCTGGGATGACAGAAACCATCTGCCCTACCTTATTCTTCTTCTGGTTAACTCTTATTCATCCTTCAAAACACAGCTCAGTTGTCCACAACTCCAGGGAGCGTTTCCCAGATGCTTCCATGTGGTCAGCCTTTTGCTTCTCCTGTAGGACCTCTTGGATCACTTTTCTTCCCGAATACCTTGCTGGGCCTAATGGCCCCAATGGGTAAGACACTCTTCTCTTTATTGTCCTGTCCTTGTATTTCCCACAACACCACCAACATAAAGCTAAAATGTAATAGGTTTTACTAAACACTTAGGATAACAAGACTGTAATATTGAAGCTGGAGTTTAAATATTGCACTTCTATCCACAGGAAAAAGAGAAAGGTTAATATTTTCACAGAGACCCCCTCATGGGTGCACCCCAGATGTTGCCTTATTTTTTCTGTCTCCTAGAGAAAGCCTTTTCTTCTATCCTTCACAGTATAAATCTCTACCACCTTGAAGGAAACCACCCTTCTTTGCTCATATAAGTTGGTTTTGTCCAAGCATCTGTCCTTGCGAGCTCCTCTGACACAGGCCAGCCATGGACAAAATGTTTTTTAACAGTTCATTGTCCAAATGTGGTTGTGTGATGGGGAAAAGGTCTTGGCTCACTGACTCTGCTTTGAGGTCCTTACTAGTGCGAGACGAAGTTGGGGCGTGCTCTTCCTGCGGCCTGCCAGCCACCTGAGGACAACTCATTGACGCAGAGCCATATCTGGATGCAGACACGCGCACACCTGCCCCAAGCACATGCACGGATATTTGCAGGCAGTTCAAACTAACTCTAGGTCAAGGATGAGAACTGTTTTCCTAAAGGTGATATAATTTGCAATATTTTTTCTTCCCATCCTGCTGCTTTTAAGTTCACCCACAGGAAGCTTTTTGCTTTTTTTTTTTTTCCCTGTGCCTAAGAAGTGGGAGGTCCCTTACAGTGCACCACCCCCACCACCTTCTTTTAGAGTGAGTTTTGGTCTTCTGCCCAGGCTGGAGTACAGTGGCGTGATCTTGGCTCACTGCAACTTCCGTCTCCTGGGTTCAAGTGATTCTCCTGCCTCAGCCTCCTGAGCAGCTGGGATTACAGTCGCATGCCACCATGCCTGGCTAATTTTTTGTAAGTTTAGTAGAGACGGGGTTTCACCATGTTGACCGGGCTGGTCTCAAACTCGTAGGCTCAAGTGATCCACCTGCCTTGGCCTCCCAAAGTGTTGGGATTACAGGCGTGAGCCATGGCGCCTGGCCCCTTTACGGTGCCTTTTCAAATAGCAGTGCTATCTACCTCTTCTTCCACCTCTGGCTACACAAATAAACAAAATGACAGAAACTTTGAATTAGGTAGAGTTTGAGCATGGGCTAGATAAAGTGAAGCTTCCTCTGTCTTAAATCTCCCCTTGTCCATGGTTAAACCTAGGGGCTTTGTGTGCAACTGCATGTATCTTTCTTTTTCTTTTTACACTAACCTGTTACTCTCTAAAAGACACAAGAGCCCCAGAAGCAGCCTCCACTTGTTACTCAACTTTATATTTTTTACAGCCTGGCCAAACCTGGCACACAAAGGTTTGTTTACCAGACTGACTGGCTGATTTGATGTACTAAAAAAATAGGAGCGTTCCTACAACTAATGGAAATTTAGAGAAATGACAGGCATAGCAGATGTATGTTTAAGCAAGAATAAAAACAATATGGTTCCCTTATATCAATAGGGACTCTCAGTTCCTGTGAGGAAAAGACCATGTATTAATTTCCATATTTACTAAGGCACTTCATATAAGTGCTTTATATAAGTAAATTCGTTGCCATGTCTATTGTCTTCATGAAACCTTGCGTAATACCTTTCATTTAGAAATGACTGTTTTTTGAATAAATACATTTTAGGTCAACATTTGTGTCCTTTCTTTTATGTTGGTTTTTAAAGTTAGTTATTATCTAGAAATATCAATTATTGCATTAAAACCTTCTCTGATGATGATAGATTAATCAATTACTACTGGAAACACTCCTTACATTTTAGTACACAACTTTATAATTCATTTTCTCAGTTGAAAGCAAAAATTTGGCAATTGCTTTTAGTTGTAGCTCTTAGGTAGAATTTTCAGGCATTTTATGTAATGTCTTCTGATAAAAGAAATTTAAAATGTGGTGGACAAATTCTTAACAATTCAGTGGCAAGTCTGGGAGATTAACTCAAGGAAATGTCCTGGGAAATAGAACAACAGGTTGGAAAATAAAAGAGAAAAGCTAATAGGGGACCAGTCTATGATCTCTGACACTGAAAATGTAGCCTTTCCAAAAAGAAAGAATAGAGGATAAAATAGAGAGGAAGACATTACTACAGAAAAAATTTTAAGAAAATAGATTAAAAAAATGAAAGACATGTTTCCATATTGAAAAGACCACGTAACACCTAGCCTGATGAATTTAAAAAGACTCATATAAGGCCAAATTATTATCCGCACTGTGGATAAAGGAAACATCTAAAAAGTTTTCAAAAAATAAAAAAGTAATTTACATACAAAACAAGAATCAAGACTGTTACTTCTTCAATAGTAATGGGAAACCGGAAGATGATATGGTAATGACTTCAAAATTTTGAGAAAAAAGAATTTCCAGTCCATAATTCTATATCCAGCCAAATGTCAATTAAGTACGAAATAAAAATAAAGATAATTTTAAACATGAAATGTCTTAAACTTTAATTTTCTGGTGCACTCTTTATTAGGAAGCTACTAACAGATACATTAGTGCAAAGATAATTGTGGTTTTTGCCATAATTGCACCAACCTACTGCCTCATAAAAAGGAGGGAGTAAACCACAAAAGAGACAGAAAGACACAGGATCCAGGAAACAGGATTCTACCGGAAGAAAGGGGAAGGGAATTCCCAGAGTGCTGATGTAGTAAAATCCCAGGCTGCAATTCAGGCAAGAGAGCAGCCAGCCCCGAATGGAGCAGGAGATAGGCATCCAGCAGAGATGACTGCAGAGGGTGTGTGTGTGAGTGTGTATGTTACCAACCAGGAGAGATGATTGCAGAGGGTGTGTGTGTGAGTGTGTATGTTACCAACCAGGAGAGATGACTGTGAAAGGTGTGTGTGTACATCCAGGAGAGATGACTGCAGAGGGGGTGTGTGTGTGCGTGTGTGTGTGTGCATCCAGGAGAGATGACTGCAGAGGGTGTGGGTGTGTGTGTGTGCATCCAGGAGAGATGACTGCAGAGGGTGTGTGTGTGTGTGCATGTGTGTGTGTGCATCCAGGAGAGATGACTGCAGAGGGTGTGTGTGTGTGTGTGTGTGTGTGCGCGCGCACATCCAGGAGAGATGACTGCAGAGGGTGTGTGTGTGTGTGTGTGTGTGTGTGTGTGCGCATCCAGGAGAGATGACTGCAGAGGGGGTGTGTGTGTGTGTGTGTGTGCATCCAGGAGAGATGACTGCAGAGGGTGTGTGTGTGTGCGTGTGTGCGTGCATCCAGGAGAGATGACTGCAGAGGGTGTGTGTGTGTGTGTGTGTGCGCGCGCATCCAGGAGAGATGATTGCAGAGGGTGTGTGTGTGTGTGTGCACGCGCATCCAGGAGAGATGACTGCAGAGGGTGTGTGTGTGTGTGTGTGCGCGCGCGCGCGCGTCCAGGAGAGATGACTGCAGAGGGTGTGTGTGTGTGCGTGTGTGTGTGCATCCAGGAGAGATGACTGCAGAGGGTGTGTGTGTGTGCGTGTGTGTGTGCATCCAGGAGAGATGACTGCAGAGGGTGTGTGTGTGTGTGTGTGTGTGCATCCAGGAGAGATGACTGCAGAGGGTGTGTGTGTGTGCGTGTGTGTGTGCATCCAGGAGAGATGACTGCAGAGGGTGTGTGTGTGTGCATCCAGGAGAGATGACTGCAGAGGGTGTGTGTGTGTGTGTGTGTGTGCATCCAGGAGAGATGACTGCAGAGGGTGTGTGTGTGTGTGTGTGTGTGCATCCAGGAGAGATGACTGCAGAGGGTGTGTGTGTGTGTGTGTGTGTGCATCCAGGAGAGATGACTGCAGAGGGTGTGTGTGTGTGCGTGTGCATGCGCATCCAGGAGAGATGACTGCAGAGGGTGTGTGTGTGTGTGTGTGCATGCGCATCCAGGAGAGATGACTGCAGAGGGTGTGGGTGTG